>NC_000010.11:6222121-6373636 GCF_000001405.40 Homo sapiens
TCTGCCGATGGGATCCTCCTGGGCCTGGTGTGTCCTCCCTGCCCGTGCCCTGCTGAGCAGTGTCGTGCCTCAGGCCCCTGCAGGCCCACTGTCCTCTGGCCTCAGACTAAGCCTTACACACCGGGGCCCTGGTTAGCACAGCAGAGAGCCCACAGGAGCAGGAGCTTTTCTGGTCTTTTTCTAAAGTCACAGCCCTCCTGCTTCTTTTTACATTTTTAAATTGATAGAAAATACACATAACCTAAAATTGACCACTTTCATCACGTTAAAGTTATGATTTAGTGCATGTTAGTGTACTCACAGTGCTGTGCAGCCATCACCACAAATTCCAGGCCTTTCCCTCACTGCACAAAGAAACCCAGACCTGTTAGGAGCCGCTCCCGCCTGCCCGGCCCAGCCCCGGCACCGGCCCGTCTGCTTCCTGCATCTGGATCTGCCTATTCTGGGCATTCCATGTCAGTGGAGTCAGATGCCACACGTGCCTTTTGCGCCCAGTTCTTTCACACAGCATTGAGTTTTCCAGGTTCCCCCGTGTGGGAGCGGAGTGGGGAGGGCTTCACTCTTTTTGTGGCTGAGCAATAGTCCACGTTAAACCCTGCTCCTTCTCAACCACTGCTGATGATGGATGATTGATTTTGCGTGGCTCTCTGGCCGGTCTGATGCAGTCTGTGGCCAGCGGCAGAGCCCCTCCCGAGTGCCCTGAGCTCACGTGGGCCCGGCCCTCTGTGCTCAGTCCTACCAGGACCTGGTCCAGCGCTTGGAGCCAGTGATCATGGAGCTGGAGCGGCAGGAGAATGTGCTGGTCATCTGCCACCAGGCCGTCCTGCGCTGCCTGCTTGCCTACTTCCTGGATAAGAGTGCAGGTACCTCGGGCAGGTCGTGGCCCCGGGATGGAGGGAGGAGGGGACTGGCACTCGGCGGGGGGTCAGCCGCAGACCTGCCGTGGCCTGCCCTGTGTTGGCTGCTGTGCCATGGGGTGTTAGGAGAAGGGCACAGGTGTCGGCTCCCGGCTGCTTCAGGTCCTCTCTGTCCAGCGCTTCCTTGAAGCCCTTGGGAAATGCTGTGGAGCCCAGGTTGATGCCGGGGACTTCATTGCTTCATAAACAGCTCCCTGAGACCCGCCCCTGGCTCCACACATCCCAGGGTCTTGGCTTGGGGTGGGGGCTGCACTTCTCTTCAGTGCCCTCTAAGGAACAAACAGCCCGGAAAACTCTGACAATCCCATTGAAATGTTAAGTCTTAGCATGTCCAGTCCAGTGCAGCTGAATCCCTAGACAGACCTAAATTGTTTGGGAGTGACTTTTTCCCAACTCTAAGTCACCGTGAGGGCGAGTCTTTTGGTTTGGTTTGATGGCACTCTTTGGGCTAAAGTCTTCTTCTGGGGCCAGCTGCTGCCCGGGACAGCTTGTGGCTGGGGACAGATGCCCCTGCCCGACAGGGCTTCCGAGGGTCCTTGTTGGGGGGACCGTAAAGGTCTTTCCATGCCTCCCCCACCCTCATGTCTCATTTCTTTTTTTTGAGACAAAGTTTTGCTCTTCTTGCGCAGGCTGCAGTGCAATGCATGCACTCACTGCAACCTCCACCTCCCAGGTTCAAGCGATTCTCCTGCCTCAGCCTCCTGAGTAGCTGGGATTATACGCATGTGCTACCACACCCTGGCTAATTTTGTATTTTTAGTAGAGATGGGGTTTTGCCATGTTGGTCAGGCTGGTCTTGAACTCCTGACCTCAGGTGATCCACCTGCCTCGGCCTCCCAAAGTGCTGGGATTACAGGCGTGAGCCACCACGCCTGGCCGTGTCTCATTTCTAACTGTGGGTGTACAATTTCAATTTCAGAGGAGATGCCCTACCTGAAATGCCCTCTTCACACCGTCCTGAAACTGACGCCTGTCGCTTATGGTGAGTAGCAACCCCTGCCAAGCCCTGTCCCCCTGAAGGTGGCCACAGTAGCTTCTTGTGGCCGTGGGCTGTAAGCGGTGCTGTCCCTTTAACAGCAGCTTCCTCTGCCCCCATCCCACGCCCTCCAGGCTGCCGTGTGGAATCCATCTACCTGAACGTGGAGTCCGTCTGCACACACCGGGAGAGGTCAGAGGTGAGTGGAGGCCCCAAGCCTCATCCTGGCCATCATCACACGATAGCCCTAGTGGGTGATGGGCGCTCAGGAGGCCCCGGGGCCGCTTGCCTGCAGGTGCTGGCCTGTCTGGGGCCATGGGCCTGCTGGCTGCCTTCCTCAGCACCTCTTTGTTCCTGCCTGTCTGTTCTGTGGCTTCTGGGGCCTTCTCATTTTCTTTCTTCCTGTGTCCTCTTCCTCCCATTTCTGCTGAGCTCGAGATATGAATATTAGTGAGGAAGATACATTCTCTCTTTTTTTTTATTTGAGACAGGGTCTCAGTCTGTTCCCCAGGCTGGAGTGCGGTGGCGCAGTCACGGCTCACTGCAGCCTCAACCTCCTGGGTTCAAGTGATCCTCCCGCCTCAGCCTCCCGCGTAGCTGAGACTACAGGTGCGCACCACCATGCCCAGCTAATTTTAATTTATTCATTTTTTTAGATAATGGGGTCTCACTGTGTTGCCCAGGCTGGTCTTGAACTCCTGGGCTCAAGTGATCCTCCTGCCTTAGTCTCCCAAAGTGCTAGGATAAAGGTGTGAGCCGTTGTGCCCAGCGTCTCTTCTCTTTAACATCAGCATGGCACAGTTCTTGTTGCCTTTCCTTTCTGGCAGCTAAAACCAGTGCTTTCAGTTTCCAGAGTTACTGTTTCAAACAGGATCAGCAGGTCAGCGCCGCCATGTGCTTGTGATTAGGCTCAGAACCACCAAGAACACGGTGTTGAGAGACGGGAGGCGTGGAGAGCAGAGGCCTGGGGGGTGGCGGGTGGGGAGGCGCTTCAGGAGACCTCGAGGCCTGGCCGTGCAGCTGCTGTCTACCTTGGGGGGAGGCCTGACATTTGGAGGTGGGCCAGGCTGCCTCTGACTGAGTAGAGTGGGCCTCTGCTCAGGTGGACGCGTGTTGTGAAAGTGAGTTTGAATTCACCGTGTACAGGCTGCCAAAAGTACAACACTGTGCTAGTACTAGTCAGACCTTTCTCTTAGACCGAGCGTGACTTTCTGTCATGGCGTTCCCGAAACAGGTGACTGTCTAGTCCCAGGAAGCTTGGCCTTCGGATTTTGGCATGAAGGGATGAGGTGTCCGCCCCAGTCGCTGGCAGTTGCCTGGCTGGTGGGCTGACCTGAGAGAGGCTGGGGTCCCTTGGCCGCCTTGGTCCCTGTCACCCCCTCCACTTCGGAATGTGGGTCACCGGATGCTGTCCTGCCTTTAGCCATATGACAACAGCCCTGGTCAGGGAGCCACTGCCCCCGCTATGGGATTGGGCCTGAGCCGGTCCTGGAGCTCTTCCCTGCAGGGAATGGGGGCAGGGCCATGATGGAGACAGATCCCGGTTCTGAGGCTGGAGGCCCACACCCCATCACGCTGTCCCTCTCATGGGAGGGCTGTGTCTGGTCCTGGCCGCAGAACCTGCTTCCTGCTGCACATTTTCTGCGCCTTTGGTCTCCAGGCTTGTTTTGCAGCCTCCGTGCCCCATCCTAAGCCAGGGTGCCCTTTGTGTAGTAGAGATGGCTCTTCAGATCCTGCCTCGGGTCAGCGGAAGGGAGTCAGCACAGTTGCCTTCCCCTCCCCAGCCTGTGAGCCTCAGGCCCAGCCTCTCCCTCCTAGATGCCCCTCCTCAGCTCTCAAGAGAGGCTGGAAGCAAAGCTCTTTTCTCCGACCTCACGCTCTGCTGTGATCATCATTCTTTCCCTCCTTGCTTTGCAAGCACCGTGTTTGTCTGTGTGGGGAATCCTTTGGTACCATCCGAGGAAGGGGGCATGGGAGGGAATTGCCCCCATTCTTGCTGCCTGGCAGTCACCGCACACTCAGCAGCCCATGGTCCCTGGCCCGTGGTCCCGGCCACTCCCCTCGGTCAGTCTTTTTGCCTCTCTAAAATCCAGGAGCAGAGAAACTTTTTTGGGGCTAATTTTCCTCCCCTTCTTTGTAACTGTCGCCTTTCTCTCTTTTGTCTTTGTCTTGCTTAGGATGCAAAGAAGGGACCTAACCCGCTCATGAGACGCAATAGTGTCACCCCGCTAGCCAGCCCCGAACCCACCAAAAAGCCTCGCATCAACAGCTTTGAGGAGCATGTGGCCTCCACCTCGGCCGCCCTGCCCAGCTGCCTGCCCCCGGAGGTGCCCACGCAGCTGCCTGGACAAGTCAGTGCACTCCCCTTTCCTTCCTGCCTGGGGGACGCATGCCGGGCGTGATGCCACAGATCTGGGATTGCGTGCGTGTGTGTTTGCAAGAATACGTGCGTGGGTGCGTGTGGGTGCGCGTGCGTATGTTGTAGGTGTCTGTGCACGTGTGTTGTGGGGGCATGTGCACACACTCACGTGTTGAGGGAGAACATAGGAAGCACCCTCCGAAGTTAAGATCCTGGGGGCTTTCCTTGCTGGTGACAACCGTGACTGCGTTCGCCTCCTTTCTGAGGATGGGGTCTTTACAGGGCAGAAGCAGGCAGTGCAGAAGGAAGAGTGAGATGTCCAAGACCCGTTCACGTTCGTGAATGGTTATTTCTAAAACAAAGAAAGTGGCTACTTTCTCACATAAATAACATGGTTATCCCAGCAGGTAGTAAAAAACCTAACAAACAAGGCCAGGCGCGGTGGCTCACGCCTGTAATCCCAGCGCTTTGGGAGGCCGAGGTGGGCGGATCACCTGAGGACAAGAGTTCCAGACCAGCCTGGCCAACATGGCGAAACCCTGTCTTTACTAAAAATACAGAAATTAGCCAGGTGTGGAGGCGGGCGCCTGTAATCCCAGCTTCTCAGGAGGCTGAGGCAGGAGAATTGCTTGAACCCAGGAGGCGGAGGTTGCAGTGAGCCGAGATGGTGCCACTGCACTCCAGCCTGGGTGACAGAGGGAGACTCCGTCTCAAAAAAAAAAAGCAAAAAACCCCAACCCGATTTCACTTATTTCATTAATTTTGAAGGTTACAGGCCTGGAAGATTTTGGTTGTCAGACATTAAGATTTGTTTTCAGAAAACTGTTTGTTTTCAGAAAACTGGTCTTTTCCTTTACAGCCTGGAACCCTTGCAAATATGTGAGATGTAGGAATTTCTGTGCTTAAATTCAGGTACCACCCAAGGGTCTGCCCTACCTCCACCCTCCAGGCCTGCCCCCACAAATCAGCCCAGTGCAGCTTCCGGTCAGGTTTGTTGATGAGCCGGATGCTGGTGCTGGCTCTGAGCATCCTTTTCAGCCTGCCACCTCTTCCCGCCTTTTCCGAGACTTCCTTAGACCTCATGATGTCTGGAATGTGACCTGGGAGATGCTGCAGCCTCCACAGGTCACTTAACCTCTCCAGGCCTCAGTTTTTTCATCCAGGCAATGGGGGAATAATGGCAGTGCAGAAGTCAGATCAGATGAGGGGATTCATGCCCTGCATCAGGCCCAGTGTCGGGCATGTGGTGGGGACGCGTAGACACGGTGAGGTGGCTGTGATTAGCGGAAGCCTGGAGGCCTGGCTTTGGTGGTAGCTCCACACTAACATGAGTGCAGCAATTTAATTGCCCAGGTTCCTTCCCCTCCCAGGCCCTCAGTCTCCTTAGCTTTGCACATGATAGGAGCAGGACTGGGAGAGCTCTCATACATATTCCCTTGCAGGTCTCAGATCTGAGGGTTTTTATGAAAAGCCAGCAGAACTGAAATGGTGTCCCTGTGGCATCCGTTCTGATGGAAATGTGCAGTTGTATTTGGAAGTTCAGAGGCCGCTGCTTTGATGCTTGGGGGGACCAGGCTGGGGAAGGGGGTTGATATCCTGAGCTGCACAGACCTCCGTCGTGGAGGACGCAGTGGCAGGGGCTGCATCCTCCTGTCCGCTTCAGAGCTGCCCCTGGCGTTGGGAGGACAGTCCTTCAGGGTGGCCAGGTTCTTAGGGACGTCTGAAGCTGCTGGCTGGGCCGGCGTGGGGTTTTTCAGGGCTTCGTCCCTGCAGATTGCGCCCTGCCTCCTGACTGACTTCTCTCTCTGCTTCTCCTCCGCAGCCTTTGCTAGGGCAAGCCTGTCTGTAAGTATCTCTCCGATCATCGCTGCTGCTTGCACTGCTTTCTTCCTGCTTGCTCATTTGGCCTCCTGCCTGTTAAAATATTGAGGATGAGAGCAGTTTTGTGATGTGAGGTCTTCCGTGGGGGAAGGAGGAGATGGGCGTAGGAGTAGGGAGGAGAGATTCCTGAATGTTTTTGGAAAAGCGTGCAGGCGGTCATGGTGGCTGCACTACTGTTGGGTGTGTTCCGACACCGCCGCACGACCGCTGGCTTCTCCCCTACCCTCTCAGGGCTGCAGGTCGTGGTGTGTAATGGCCGTGGTTTAGGGCTCGGCATAAATCCACATTTCCTTATCAGAATCAGATCTTGGTGGCGAGCTGCATCTGTGCCAGGTGCCATTAGCCTTAAAGCCCCCTCCTGCCCCAGGAGTGTCCTTTGTTTTGGAAGGAAAACTTACTCAGAGCCTAATCTGTAAACCAAACCTATGGGGAATAGTGGGAGTGTGGTGGGGCCTGAGCTCTGAGCCTCTCCCTCCCCATGAGGACCCCCCACACCCCAAAAGAGCTCCGAGTGGAGACCCTTGGGGATCCGTTTGTCCTGGGTTGGAGCCTGCTCAGCGTCATAGTCACGCCCGGGGCTGGGTGCAGCCTCCATCTCTAACCCATGTGGTCACTTCTGCTCCTCCCAGAGCTCTCTGCAGAGTTTCAGGTTCAGCCTTAGCTCTGGCAGCCACTGGGTAGCTGGGGCTGTGTTCCCACTGCTCTGGGATCCCTTCCCCACCAGGAGCAGAGGCCTTCCTGCCACAGAACTTTAATGACAGCCACATGAAGTGTCATCCCCTTGCCCCCCCAAAAACACACCCGCCCCTTTATTTCCTGTTTGCTCCTTAAGTTACCTTAACTACTTTATGCAGAAACTGGAAAGGTGTGATGAGGAATGCAGCCTGAGATGCTGAAAAGAATGACTGGCTTTGGAAATGGGAGAGGTTTGGCATGGCGCTCAGATTTTGGTGGCAAAGGGGTGAAGGGCCAGAGGATGTACCAGTGTCCTCCATGTCCACGTTCCTTAAGACCACCCTGGGAGGTCGGCAGGGCAGTCAGTCCCCCGTTTAATGGTTGAGGGGCTGAGTGACCGGCCCGTGCTTCCAGCAGGTGAGCCGCAGAGCCGGGGCCTGAAAGGCCCCTTGCTTCAGAAAGCCGGCCGCCTCCTCTCTGCGGCTTCTGGGAGTGGGCTGGGTGCCCGTTCCCTGCTGCTGTCCTGAGGCCCCTGCCCTGTGACCCGCAAGGCATGGGCAGCTGTTGGACCCTCGTGTACCCCCACAGCCACCCCCTTGCAGCTGCTTCCCACAGCCAGGCTTTGCTTACCTAAGGTGGGCCTGCCCTTAACTTCCAGCTTCTTGGGGCGCACCCTCCATCCTCAGGGCCAGTGTCTGTGATGCGCGGGGCCAGCGTGCAGTGCTTCAGGATCTGGGCTTCTCCTTGTGTGAAACTTTTTGGACTTGGAGCCTGAAGGTTTTACATCTGTGCATGTCCTGATCCTTTAGACCAGCAGTCCCCGACCTTTTTGGTACCAGGGACCCGTTTCGTGGAAGAGAATTTTCCCCACCATGGCAGGGTAGGGGATGGTTTGGGGATAAAACTGTTCTGCCTCAGATCGTCTGGCATTAGATTCTCTGAAGGGAACGCACAGCCTAGATCCCTCGTGTGTGCTCCTCCGAGTCAGGTGGTAATGTTGGCCCACCCACCACCCACCTCCTGCTGTGTGGCCCGCCTCTCAGTGGGCTATGGACTGGGTACTGGTCCACAGCCCAGGGGTTAGGGACCCCTGCGTTAGACACGTGGCCTCATGTTGCCAGGAAAGAAATCTTTCTACTGGGAGGAGCCATTCGGGGATAGTCCCCCACCCGCTAAAGCTGATCTTACCTATCTCCAAGATGAACATAATAGTGCGTTTGCTAGAATCCCTCCTGTTCAGCAAAAATACATCCGATGGACCCATCACACCTGACTCAGGTTGGAATTTCACTCTGGAGTCCCATTGTCCCGTCCATCCTGGGTGCGTGACCCCACATCTAGGATTGTAGCCACATCTGATTCTAGGAGTCCACCTGGGCTCTGTGACCAGAATTTATGATGAAAGTCAGACCAAGCCAGGCCTGCATCTTGGTTCTACTCCTCCTGGCCTCTATCCTTGGCACTCTGGGCAAGTTAAAGCAATTCTAGGACCTCAGCTTCCTCATCTGTAATATGGAGATAATAACTTCATAAAGTTGTCATAATGAGACTATAGATACAGCACTTAGCACAATATCTGGCCCCTAGGAAGTGCGTGGGGGATGACGGCTGCTGTTGTTATCAGGGAGGAACTTGGTGCCCTGGGCCTGTGGAGACTTCTGGGCTTGCTGGCATTGGGTCAGCCTTTGGATACCCTCCTGTAACCTGAGGGATTTCTTCTCTGGGGCAGCAGGAACACCCAGACTTGGGGAGGGGAAATCCCTGGGGTCTCAAGGCCATGGCCTGAAGTCTTTTTTTTTTTTTGAGATGGAATTCTGCTCTTGTTGCCCAGGCTGGAGTGCAGTGGCGCGATCTTGGCTCACTGCAACCTCCTTCTCCCGGGTTCAAGCGATTCTCCTGCCTCAACCTCCCGAGTAGCTGGGATTACAGGCGCCCGCCACCATGCCCGGCTAATGTTTGTATTTTTAGTAGAGATGGGGTTTCACCATGTTGGCCAGGCTCGTCTCAAACTCCTGACCTCAGGTGATCCACCCGCCTTGGCCTCCCAAAGTGCTGGGATTACAGATGTGAGCCACCACGCCCAGCCTAGAGTCTTCACCCCTGTGATCTTGGTTTCCCAGTAAGATGGGGACGAACAACTGTCCGGACCTGGTGCTCTGGGGTGCCTTCCTGGGGGCTGTGCCGGCTGCTTGGGATCGAGAGATCACCTGGCATTTGTGATGCAACCTTCATTTTTAAAATTTCAAATGCACACTAGAAAATCCTACTAAAGATTTTCTTTTTTTTTTTCCTTTTCCAACCTGTTTCTTCCTCTCCCCCACTCTGCTTGAAAGACGAACTGTCTGTCACATTTTCTCAAAGTTTTCTCCTTACTAACTGTGGAAGGTAAATGCCTGGGTGCATGTCCCTCTGTCCCGCACCGCGTCACGGCATCTGGGTCTGTGTGCAGACTGGCCATCGTGCAATGCGGGGCTCATCTGTCTCCATGCCGAGGTTGTTAAGTGCAACACCATTGTCGTGAGGTCCTTTCTAGTCTGTCTCTCACCCCCCACGTGTCCTGAGCTGGGGCCCCTGGGTGAAGGACGTGGACATCACCCGGTCTTGCAGGCTCTCCACTGTTATTGTTGCATCGCCATCACCTGTGGGTGCCGGAAGCTGTGGGCTGGTGGTGTTGAGGACAGGTTGGAGCCAGCAGATGCGGAGGGAAATGTCAGCCCTGCTCTGTGATCCCACAGCCCGGCTGGGGCTCTCCCTAGATATGAGGACCCAGGGCTCTCTGAAGAGAATTGCCCCCTCCCAGTGGGCACCCATCACTTCCATCATCCTTCGGCGGGCACCCATCAACCCCCGCAGGCAGCCGTCATCCCCTGGCAGGCACCTATCACCTCCTGGTGGGCACTCATCACCTCCCGGTGGGCACCCATCACCTCCTGGCGGGCACCCATCACCTCTCGGCGGGCACCCATCACCTCCCGGTGGGCACCCATCACCTGGGTTCCTGAGTCTGGCCCACGCCTGGGCGATAGCTCTGATGCTGCCCAGCCCCGTGACTTTCCTCCCTGTGGATGGCTCCAGCCTTGGACCCCCAGTTCTGTGTGGGGTGGGCATGGGCCACGGTGGCCCTGTGTGCCTGGGCTCTCTCCCACCCTCTTTAGAGCAGTCCAGGTGGAGACACTCAGGACTGGAGAGAATAGTTTTAAACATTGTGTGTTTTCTTGTTTTTTGAGGCGTAGGTGAAGCAGGTCACGGAAGGAGGCCCGCTGTGCAGTGGCTGCAGTCAGTTGTGTTCCTCGCTGATTTTGGAGCATGTTTTTTTGCGGGGGGTGGGTGGCGGGGGGGTTTGGTACTGGCCAGTGCCTTAGGGGTGGAACTCCCTGCGAGGGCCACTGTGATCAGAAGTGGGGCAGGGCTTTAACAACACCCCTCTGCCTGGCTCCCCACCTGGGCCTCCCCACCACGTCCAGCCATTCCATGTATCACCTGTGTTCTGCCTGTCAAGCTCTGTTCCCAGAATCTGGATGCAGGAGCTGGGAGTGTGGCTCTGTTTTGAGCTGAGTCGAGAGGAGGGGCCCTGTGTGTCCTTGGAGGCCCCGGGCTCATCCTCTGCCTGGCTGTGGTTTGTGGGATTTCTATGGGGTCGTGAGCATGAGGCTCCTGTAGTTACTGGTGCCCAGCGCCGCGCAGCTCACGGTCCTCCAGGAGCCACACGGCCCCCACCAGGCGGGCTCCAGGCCTGGTGCCCAGCCCCTTCTCTGAGACTCTGGGGTTATCTTGCGTCATGTTCTGAGGCCCACCTGGGCTCTCTCCCGCCTGTGAGGTTGGCAGCACCTTTCTTGGATCATGTTCTTTGTCTGGGATGGAGGGAGGGAAGAATTCTCCGTTGCATGGCTCGCGTCTTCTGCTTTAGAATTCAGCCAGCTACAAATCCTAACTCCCTCCCCACCTCTCTTTTCTCCTGAAAACAGAACATGAAAGGCTCCCGGAGCAGCGCTGACTCCTCCAGGAAACACTGAGGCAGACGTGTCGGTTCCATTCCATTTCCATTTCTGCAGCTTAGCTTGTGTCCTGCCCTCCGCCCGAGGCAAAACGTATCCTGAGGACTTCTTCCGGAGAGGGTGGGGTGGAGCAGCGGGGGAGCCTTGGCCGAAGAGAACCATGCTTGGCACCGTCTGTGTCCCCTCGGCCGCTGGACACCAGAAAGCCACGTGGGTCCCTGGCGCCCTGCCTTTAGCCGTGGGGCCCCCACCTCCACTCTCTGGGTTTCCTAGGAATGTCCAGCCTCGGAGACCTTCACAAAGCCTTGGGAGGGTGATGAGTGCTGGTCCTGACAGGAGGCCGCTGGGGACACTGTGCTGTTTTGTTTCGTTTCTGTGATCTCCCGGCACGTTTGGAGCTGGGAAGACCACACTGGTGGCAGAATCCTAAAATTAAAGGAGGCAGGCTCCTAGTTGCTGAAAGTTAAGGAATGTGTAAAACCTCCACGTGACTGTTTGGTGCATCTTGACCTGGGAAGACGCCTCATGGGAACGAACTTGGACAGGTGTTGGGTTGAGGCCTCTTCTGCAGGAAGTCCCTGAGCTGAGACGCAAGTTGGCTGGGTGGTCCGCACCCTGGCTCTCCTGCAGGTCCACACACCTTCCAGGCCTGTGGCCTGCCTCCAAAGATGTGCAAGGGCAGGCTGGCTGCACGGGGAGAGGGAAGTATTTTGCCGAAATATGAGAACTGGGGCCTCCTGCTCCCAGGGAGCTCCAGGGCCCCTCTCTCCTCCCACCTGGACTTGGGGGGAACTGAGAAACACTTTCCTGGAGCTGCTGGCTTTTGCACTTTTTTGATGGCAGAAGTGTGACCTGAGAGTCCCACCTTCTCTTCAGGAACGTAGATGTTGGGGTGTCTTGCCCTGGGGGGCTTGGAACCTCTGAAGGTGGGGAGCGGAACACCTGGCATCCTTCCCCAGCACTTGCATTACCGTCCCTGCTCTTCCCAGGTGGGGACAGTGGCCCAAGCAAGGCCTCACTCGCAGCCACTTCTTCAAGAGCTGCCTGCACACTGTCTTGGAGCATCTGCCTTGTGCCTGGCACTCTGCCGGTGCCTTGGGAAGGTCGGAAGAGTGGACTTTGTCCTGGCCTTCCCTTCATGGCGTCTATGACACTTTTGTGGTGATGGAAAGCATGGGACCTGTCGTCTCAGCCTGTTGGTTTCTCCTCATTGCCTCAAACCCTGGGGTAGGTGGGACGGGGGGTCTCGTGCCCAGATGAAACCATTTGGAAACTCGGCAGCAGAGTTTGTCCAAATGACCCTTTTCAGGATGTCTCAAAGCTTGTGCCAAAGGTCACTTTTCTTTCCTGCCTTCTGCTGTGAGCCCTGAGATCCTCCTCCCAGCTCAAGGGACAGGTCCTGGGTGAGGGTGGGAGATTTAGACACCTGAAACTGGGCGTGGAGAGAAGAGCCGTTGCTGTTTGTTTTTTGGGAAGAGCTTTTAAAGAATGCATGTTTTTTTCCTGGTTGGAATTGAGTAGGAACTGAGGCTGTGCTTCAGGTATGGTACAATCAAGTGGGGGATTTTCATGCTGAACCATTCAAGCCCTCCCCGCCCGTTGCACCCACTTTGGCTGGCGTCTGCTGGAGAGGATGTCTCTGTCCGCATTCCCGTGCAGCTCCAGGCTCGCGCAGTTTTCTCTCTCTCCCTGGATGTTGAGTCTCATCAGAATATGTGGGTAGGGGGTGGACGTGCACGGGTGCATGATTGTGCTTAACTTGGTTGTATTTTTCGATTTGACATGGAAGGCCTGTTGCTTTGCTCTTGAGAATAGTTTCTCGTGTCCCCCTCGCAGGCCTCATTCTTTGAACATCGACTCTGAAGTTTGATACAGATAGGGGCTTGATAGCTGTGGTCCCCTCTCCCCTCTGACTACCTAAAATCAATACCTAAATACAGAAGCCTTGGTCTAACACGGGACTTTTAGTTTGCGAAGGGCCTAGATAGGGAGAGAGGTAACATGAATCTGGACAGGGAGGGAGATACTATAGAAAGGAGAACACTGCCTACTTTGCAAGCCAGTGACCTGCCTTTTGAGGGGACATTGGACGGGGGCCGGGGGCGGGGGTTGGGTTTGAGCTACAGTCATGAACTTTTGGCGTCTACTGATTCCTCCAACTCTCCACCCCACAAAATAACGGGGACCAATATTTTTAACTTTGCCTATTTGTTTTTGGGTGAGTTTCCCCCCTCCTTATTCTGTCCTGAGACCACGGGCAAAGCTCTTCATTTTGAGAGAGAAGAAAAACTGTTTGGAACCACACCAATGATATTTTTCTTTGTAATACTTGAAATTTATTTTTTTATTATTTTGATAGCAGATGTGCTATTTATTTATTTAATATGTATAAGGAGCCTAAACAATAGAAAGCTGTAGAGATTGGGTTTCATTGTTAATTGGTTTGGGAGCCTCCTATGTGTGACTTATGACTTCTCTGTGTTCTGTGTATTTGTCTGAATTAATGACCTGGGATATAAAGCTATGCTAGCTTTCAAACAGGAGATGCCTTTCAGAAATTTGTATATTTTGCAGTTGCCAGACCAATAAAATACCTGGTTGAAATACATGGACGAAGTAAACCTCTGGTCTTTTCGTGGGGGAAAGAAGAGTCTTTAATTGATGTTTACGGCAGATGCGCCACGGAGCTGCCAACTCACCACTTCATTATCTTCCTTTCAACAGGATGTTCAAGTACAGAGTGTCTAGTGCCTGCATTTGGGGAGAATGAGCTGTCTCAATTTTTCTTCTAATTGATAGGCTTCATGTTTTATTTTTATTTTTAATTTAATTTTTTTCTTTTTTTTCTTTTTTTTTTTTTGAGACTGTTTCTCACTCTGTCGCCCAGGCTGGAGTGCAGTGGCGCGATCTCAGCTCACTGCAACCTCCTCCTACCAGGTTCAAGCAATTCTCGTGCCTTAGCCTCCCTAGTAGCTGGGATTACAGGTGTGCACCACCATGCCCAGCTAATTTTTGTATTTTTATTAGAGACAGCATTTCACCATGTTGGCCAGGCTGATCTTGAACTCCTGGCCTCAGGTGATCTGCCTGCGTCGGCTTCCCAAAGTGCTGGGATTACAGGCATGAGCCACTGTGCCTGGCCCCACGTCGGTTTTACTCCCTTCATTCTATACCCCTTCCCCGCGCCCTTTTAAACACCAGTTCTTGCCTCATTGGCACTACAGAAGGTATCTTTCATGTTAGGTTCCTTTCACCTGCCCTTCCCCATCTCCTGGCTTCTTCCATGTTTCTGCAGGGAATAAAACTCAAGCTTCTGTGACTTCTTTGCCGCTCATTGGCTGCCAGAGGTTGAGCCGGTTATTTCACTTCCAGCCTCAGCGTCTGCATCTCTGCAGATGGGGCAGGGTTCAGGGTGGAGCGTGGCAAACACCATGCGTGGAGGAAGCCCTGGAGTGGTTCCTTCTGCAGCTGGTATGCGTGACCAGCGTCTTGCTTGGTCTGATTTTTTTTCCGGAGCCCCCCACTGCTGCGCTCCAGAAATAGCCTTGACTCCCCAGTGAGTCTTCATCCCTTAGGCGCCTGCCGCCCACGCTGTGAAGAGAACAGGCGGCAGAGACTTGGCACCTCTGTTGCGAGATGACTCCCAGGGTTGCGATCTGGCTGCAGCGTGACGGGGCAGAGCGTTCTGGGGAACCTGAGGCCACCTCCTCAAGCTCTGAGCCACGTTTGATGGCGTGAGATGTGTCAGGTGCAGGGATGGAGCAGTGGCGTTGACGGAAATCTGGCCTAGCCTTTCAGGCTGACTACCCAGAAAATTAAAAGACTGCTCCCAAAGAGGATGTCTGTGTATCGTAAGGTCCTGGGCCGGCCGGGCTGTGGGGATCCACAGGGGCTCTGACCTTTTGGGCCAGCTCTGAGATTCATCTGAGAGATGGGCTAGGTCCACAGTCACTGACTAAATACGGAAGATTCAGTAACCGGGTGGATGCTGTCGGGGAGAGGAGGGCTGGGGCCGGAGAGGGGTGGACGTTGTACACACCAGTCGTTTCCATTCGCTGCCTGGGCTCGGTTCCTTCCACTTCTCACTCCCTTAGCTCCGGCCACACTGGCCTCCTGCAGGTCTTCGAACTTGCCAACGTGCACCCACCGCAGGGCCTTCGAGAGTGCCGCTCCCTCCCCTGGGAGGTCTCCCCAGCTATCCGGGGTTCTCCCCGACACTTCCTCCCCATCCCCATTCAGTTATCAAAGCCTATGCCAAAAAGGCCTCCCGTCTCCCGAGTCCCTGCACACCTTTCGCAGTGTGTGTTGAATGCCTTGCCCTCTGTCTCCTGAACCTGGGCCTAAGATCCCGGAGAGCAGGGCAGCTCCCTGTGCCCCGTCATCGTCCATACGGACCTGGCCCGCAGTGGGCTCTGTCACTAAATGGATAACCAGTGCTGGGGAGAAGACCCAGATGATGTGCTGGTGAAGAGTGAGGCGTTCATTCAGCTTGCAGAAGGAGGCTTAGGAAGGCTTTATAGAAGAAAGGAAATGTGAGCAAAGATGTCGTTGAAAGTAACTTTTTTTGAATTAAAAATATTGTATTAACAAAAATTCAAAGCCTTCTGTGAGTTTTCAAAATCTGAATTTCACAATACTTGTGAGTTCTAAAGTTTGTTTTTTGAGACAGGGTTTTGCTCTGTCTCCCAGGCTGGAGTGCAGAGGTGTGACAGCTCACTGCAACCTCCGTCTCCAGGGCTCAAGTCATCCTCCCACCTCTGCCTCCCGAGTAGCTGGGACTACAGGCATGTGCCACCACGCCCAACTAATTTTTGTATTTTTTGTCGAGATGAGGTTTCGCCATGTTGCCCAGGCTGGTCTTGAACTCCTGAGCTCAAGTGAACTGCCTGCCTTAACCTCCCAAAGTGCTGGGATTACAGACGTGTGCCACCACGCCCAGCTAAAGACTGTTTTATAAACTTCATTTTAAGCTCATATTTTGCAAGACAACATAAGTGGGTTTGGATTCAGTTGTTCTCGGTGTGTGAGCCGGTCTTTCCAGTCAATTCATTGATGGTCTAGACAATTTGTGAAGGCGCTGGTTTCAACCTACAGTTTCTGACATACTCCTAAGACCAGGTGAAAAGAAAACCCCCATAAAGACACCCGAATCGCCTCAAAATATGACACTTCAGCCCTTGGGACTAAAGAGGACCCCTGGCGCAGTCCCTGAGAAATGTCTTTGGAGAAATTTTTATTTATTTATTTATTATTTTTTTGAGACAGAGTTTGGCTCTGTTGCCCAGGCTGGAGTGCAGTGGTACAATCTCAGCTCGCTGCAACCTCCACCTCCCAGGTTCAAGTGATCCTCCTGCCTCAGCCTCCTGAGTAGCTGGGATTACAGGTGCATGCCACTAAGCCCGGCTAAGTTTTATATTTTTAGTAGAGACAGCATTTTGCCATGTTTGTCAGGCTGGTCTTGAACTCCTGAACTCGGGTGATCTACCTGCCTTGGCCTCCCAAAGTGCCGGGATTACAGGTGTGAGCCACTGAGCCTGGCTGAGGTGCCATCTCAAAAAAAAAAAAAAAAAAAAAAAAAGATGTGAAGGAATGCCATAGTTCTCAGACTTATTGGGAGAACTAAATCTTTTTTTTTTTTTAACTTTTATTTTAAGTTCAGAGGTACATGTGCAGGATGTATAGACTTGTTAAATAGGTAAACTTGTGTCATGGGGGTTGGTTGTACAGATTATCTCATCACCCAGGCAGTAAGCTAGTACCCATTAGTTATTTTTCCTGATCCTCTCCCTCCTCCCACCCACCACCCTCTGATAGGCCCCAGTGTGTGGTGTTCCCCTCTATGTGTCCATGTGTTCTCATTATTTAGCTCCCACTTAAATGTAAGAACATGTGGTATCTGGTTTTCTGTTCCTGCATTAGTTTGCTGAGGATAATGGCCTCCAGCTCCTTCTATGTCCCTGCAAAGGATAGGATCTCATTCCTTTTCATGGCTGTATAGTATTCCATGGTGTGTATGTACCACATTTTCTTTATCCAGTCTATCATTGATGGGCATTTGGGTTGATTCCATGTCTTTGCTATTGTGAGTAGTGCTGCAATGAACATACGCGTGCATGTGTCTTCATGGCGGAACAACTTGTATTCCTTTGGGTATATAGCCAGTAATGGGATTGCTGGGTCGGATGGTATTTCTGACTTTAGGGGTTGAGAATTGCCCCACTGGGGAAGATGAAATATGAATGAAACACGCCTGACAGTTCCTGGCACAGAGAGAGCACCGCTGTGGTAGTTATTCATCTGAGCATGCATGCCCGGCGTTTCAAATGCAAGGTAGATGCTATTATCCCCACCTTTCAGATATGGAACTGTAGTCAGGAGAGCTTAAGGACGCTGCTTGATTTTGCTCAGCCATAACTGAGATAAACCAGGTCTGTTAGACTCGCAGATGAGTCACATCACAGCCTAAGGGCTCCACAGACTGCCAGGATGCTCCTGCATGAGTCAGCAGATCACAGGAAAGGGAGTTGAGTCGCATATTAATTAGCAAGCAGGGTTTCCTGTCCCTGGGGCTGTGGAGAGGTTTGTCAGTGTCCAGACGAACAACAGATTTTCTGGAGTGGGTCATAACTCAAGATGCTCACATAACGTTGGGGACCAGATGTCCATTCTGTAAGGCTATGTGTTTTTCCCTCCCTACCTCTTCCAGACAGCATCTTTGGGGATTTCCTATTCCTGGAGAACATGAAGACTTTCTAATATTTTTTTTTGAGAGAGGGTCTTGCTCTGTTGCCCAGGCTGGAGTGCAGTGGCATGATGTCGATTCACTGCAGCCTTGAACTCCCGGGCTCAAGCCATTCTCCCACCTCAGCCTCCCGAGTAGCTGAGACTTCAGGTGTGCGCCACCACGCCTGGCTAATGTTTGTATTTTTAGTAGAGATGGGGTTTCACCATGTTGGCCAGGCTGATCTCGAACTCCTGGACTCAAGCGATCTGCCCCACTGGGCCTCCCAAAGTGGTGGGATTATAGGCATGAGCCACCGTGCCTGACAATGAAGAATTTCTGAGGGGTACATTTGCATAGATAATTTTAAGGGAATGTTTTCGGATCCCCAACTTCCACATTCACCCTTTTCTAAAACAGACTGAGAAGTTTGCTTACATTCACAATAGTCTTTTACTGCTTTGCAAACAATAGGCCAAGCTCCTATTTATCTCATGCTCAGTGCTAGGATGCAGGACGTTTGCAAGTTAGCATTCCTAGATTTCTTACATGTACAAGAAAGGGCTTAGACTAGATGGTTTTTGGAAAACTTTTTATTTTGAAATAATTTATTTTATGTAAGTAGGTATGTATTTTTGAGATGGAGTCTCGCTTTGTCCCCCAGGCTGGACTGCGGTGGCACTATCTCGGCTCACTGGAAACTCCGCCTCCTGGGTTCAAGCGATTCTTGTGTCTCAGCCTCCCTAGTAGGTGGGATTACAGGTGCCCGCCTCCACGCCCAGATAATTTTCGCATTTTTAGTAGAGATGGGGTTTCACTGTGTTGGCCAGGCTGATCTCGAACTCCAACCTCAGGTGATCCGCCCGCCTCAGCCTCACAATGTGCTGGGATTACAGACGTGAGCCGCCGCGCCTGGCCTGAAATAATTTTAGATTTACAGAAGAGTTGCAAAGACAGTACAGAGAGTTCCTGTCTATGTTTCACCCAGCTGCCCGTAATATAAACATCTTACAACAACATGGTACCCTTGTCAAAACTATGAGTTAACATGATTAGTACAGTACTAGTAACAAAACTACAGACTTCATTCAGGTCTCACCAGTTTTTCCACTAATGCCGTTTTTCTGTTTCAGCATCCAGAGTCCAGGGTGTCACCTTATCTCCTTAGACTCCTTCAATCTGTGACAATTTCTCACTCTTTCCTTTTTATTTTTATTACCTTGATGCTTTTGCAGAGTACTAGTCAGGTATGTTGTAGAATGTTCTTTTTTTTTTTTGAGACAGATTCTCACTCTGTTGCCCATGCTGGAGTGCAATGGCATGATCTCAGCTCACTGCAACCTCCATCTCCCAGGTTCAAGTGATTCTCCTGCCTCAGCCTCCCAAGTAGCTGGGATTACAGGTGCACACCACCATGCCTGGTTAATTTTTTTGTATTTTTAGTAGAGACGGGGTTTCTCCATGTTGGCCAGGCTGGTCTCGAACTCCTGACCTCGTGATCCACCCACCTTGGCCTCCCAAAGTGCTGGGATTACAGCTGTGAGCCACCGCGCCTGGCCATAGAATGTTCTTTAGTTTGGGTTTGTCTCATGTTTTCTCATGATGGGACTGAGTCTGGTTAGGGATTTTGGGAAGAATCCCACCGAGGTGAAGCGCCCTTCTCATGACATCCTCTCTGAGGGGACACGGCCACACAGGACTTCCTTCTGGGGATGTTAACTTTGATCTTTGGTGAAGGTGGTGTCTAACCACTCTTACCAGGCTGGTATTTTTCCCCTTCAACTTTCAATTTTTTAGGAAGGAGTCACTTAGTCCAGCTCCCTTTCAAGGGGAGGGCAATGAGCTCCACCTCCGGAAGGGAGCAGTATCAAAGAATCTGTGGCCATGTGTTAAAACCATCACCAGGCCAGGTCGCATGGCTCATGCCTGTAATCTCAGTGCTTTGGGAGGCCAAGGTGGGAGGATCGCTTAAGCCCAGGAGTCCGATACCAGCCTGAGCAACATAGTGAGACCCCATCTCAACATACAAAAACTACCAGTGAAGGAGATACTTTGAGGGTATGTAAATATCCTGTTTCTCCTTAATGTTTCACTTTCTAATTTTAGCATCCATTAGTGTATTTTCCTTGCAGCAGATATTATTTGTATTGTGGTGTTCTAATGGTGGTTTTCTTTTTTTTAATTTTTTTTTGCTTTCTTTTCTTTTTTTTTTTTTAAGAGATGGGGATCTTACTCTGTCACCCAGGCTGGAGTGCAGTTGCACAATTATAGCTGACTGCAGCCTCTAACACCTGGGCTCAAGCAGTCCTCCCACCTCAGCCCCCCGAGTAGCTGGGATTACAGGTGTGAACCACCATGTCCTGCTTAATTTTTAAATTTTTTGTGGAGTTGGGTGTCACTATTTTGCCCAGGCTGGTCTTTAACTGGCCTCAAGTGATTCTTCCCGCCTCAGCCTCTCAAAGTGCAGGGATTATAGGCTTATGCTACCTTGCCAGGCCCTTATTCGTGAGTTTCAATTTTCCTTATTCCTTTTACACTTATTTGTAATTCTTTCATAAGGAAAATCTGTTCCGTCTCCCCATTTATTTACTTATTCAGTCATTTATTTATACTACTGTGGACTCATGATCATTCCTTTGTAGATGAATTCTTAAGTCTCTGAACTAAGTCTCTGCAAGCTCTGATTTCCATGAACTCCTTGCCTCCCACTCTCCAGAATATTTAACACTTTATATTCCTGCCCAGGACGGGCCTGGCCAGGGTACACCATCACCCCTATGTACAGAAGCAGGTACCTCGTTTTCCAGCCTGATGGCAGCCCAGCCACATCCTCACTTCGTTTTCCTCATGCGCCTTAACTATTATGCATGGTCTCTAATGTGTGCAGGCGAACCTGTGGGATGAAACTGTTCCCACCGTAGTGCCCTGAAGCAGTGTTCTGTAAACATTTTTTTTTTTTTGAGACGGAGTCTCGCTCTGTTGCCCAGGCTGGAGTGCAATGGTGTGGTCTCAGCTCACTGCAACCTCCACCTCCTGAGTTCAAGCGACTCTCCTGCCTCTGCCTCTCAGGTAGCTAGAATTACAGGTGCACACTACCACACCCAGCTAATTTTTGTATTTTTCATAGAGACAGGGTTTCGCCATATTGGCCAGGCTGGTTTCGAACTCTTGACCTGAGGTGATCCGCCCACCTCGGCCTCTCAAAGTGTTGGGATTACAGGCGTGAGCCACTGCGCCCGGCCTAAACATTTTATTTCTATAATTTACTTTATAGCAGATTCAGTTACTGACCAGCCCAAAGGGGCTTGTCTTAGTTTTTCCAGTGAGGCTTTTATAATATGACTTGGGGGAGGCTGTCTGTATCAGCAAGTATCTGCTGAATGCCTGTTATATGCAAGCCACTGTTCTAAGTATTAGGGATAAAAAAATACTGGAAGACTCGGCAACACCCTACCAGAGCTAACGTCTAATTGATTCTCTAGGAATGCTCAGGTCCTTCAAGTTCCAAGACAACCAAGAGATCTGTGAAGAAAGCCAGTGCTCCAGAGCGCGTTTCATTAGAGAAAAAAAGAGAGATCCCTTTAACAACCATGTTGTAATCCTCGGAACTGCCGCACGTCCCAAGCAGCTGGTCCTGGGACAACATATTGAGAATATTTTGTCAGTTCTGAGATTTGAAGGAAACTCAACCAAGACTATCTTTACTTAGTTATTAAATCCCAGAAGGCATCATGGATGAAGTTAGTCAGGAATGGCAAGCATAGAGAGAGGAGGAAGAAAGAAAAGGAAGCCCACAGTGTTCGCTTTGGAGACACCCTTTCTTCCCCCTGGGAAGGGAACTGGGACACGACCCTGGGCAGGCTCTGGGTGCTGTCACCCTAGTCCCATCAGTGGAGGCAGCCGCTTCCTGCAACGCTCCCCATAGAGGCTGAGACGTTTTCCTTCTGGGGCCTGTTCTCTTTCCCTAATTCAACTTTGCAGAGCTCCTCAAATGGAGTGGGGAAGGTGTGAGAGAAATTATTCTTCTGTCATTTTATAACTGCCAGGCTTTAGGAGTGCAATGTGTCAGCTATTTCTTTCCTTTTCTTTTTTTCTGAGACAGTGTCTTGCTAGGTCGCCCAAGGCTGAAGTGCAGTGGCACGATTATAGCTCATTGCAACCTTCAACTCCTGGGTTCAAGTGATCCTCCCACCTCAGCCTCCCAAATAGCTGGGATTACTTAGTGTGCGCCATCATGCCCAGCTAATGTTTTTATTTTTTGTAGAGATAGGGCCTCACTATGTTGCCCAGGCTGGTCTCGAACTCCTGGGCTCAAGCAATCCTCCCACCTCAACCTCCCGAGTAGCTGAGACTACAGGTACATACTATCACGCCCAGCTAATACTTTTATTTTTTGTAGAAATGGGGCCTCACTATGTTGCCCAGGCTAGTCTTGAAGTCCTGGGCTCAAGCAATCCTTCCACAGCCTCTCCAGTGTTGGGATTACAGGTGTGAGCCACTGCACCTGAAGCTGGTGTCAGCGATTTCTTCCTCATCCCATTGAGGGGAGAGCGTGGCCTTAACTCAGCTGTTTGGATGTCAAATGAAGAGCAGACATCAACTCGCTTGTTAGGGCTGAGAATGTACCACACACACAGGGAAACACGAAGTGAAGGCCACGTAGTGAAGACCAAACTTCCTGTTTCCCAGGCAGCTTAACCACCACAGGCTGCAGGAATATTAGTGAAGCCCATGGGGAAGGGAATTTCTGGAGGGACCATGGTCTTTCTGGACCAACTTGGCTGCTCATTCTTTTTGAGGAAAACACTAACCGTATTCCAATTCGGGGCAGGCCTGAGAATTTGGGCGCAGCATCCAGAAAAGCTGTATTTAGCAGGTGCTCTGGGGCAGGTCCTCCTACAAAGCACACCTTAGCCCAGTTGAGAATCTGGGCTAAGATTCTGTCGCTATTCTCTTACACGGTAATAAATTAGTTCTTTTGCAAGCAGATTAGACCGAGACAAGTAATTCTTGGTCTTCTAAATCCACAGCTCACAAAGGATTAGGGAGGGATGAGAAGCTGGAAAGGGCAGCTAAGGATATAAGCACGTTGGACTGGAAATGCCCTCATCACCCAGAGGGTGTTATGTAAAAGTGAGAAAGGCTGGGTTAAATCAGGTTCATTCGTTCATTCGTAATTGAGAGGGAGAGTTCCTATTAATGGCCCGAGATTGTGCTGAAAGCTAGGAGTTCATTTTATAAGATATGAATGAAAGAAACAGTTCCTAGCATACACTCACCATAAAATGAGATTTTTAGTCTTAGAAGCCCAGTTTGCTTGAGCTGGGACCTTCGAGATCTGCAAGTTTAAACTCCACCACTTTACAGGTGGGGAAACTGAGGCTCACAGAGGGAAAGCGAGGTCAGGTGTCACAGCTGCTGGGACTAAACAACTTGACTTGTGGTCTAGCTCTCTTATTTATTTATTTAGAGATGGAGTCTTGCTCTGTTGCCCAGGCTGGAATGCAGTGGCACGATCTCAGCTCACTGCAACCTCTGTCTCCTGAGTTCAAGCAATTCTCCTTCCTCAGCCTCCCGAGTAGCTGGGATTACAGGCATACGCCACCATGCCTGGCTAATTTTTATATTTTTAGTAGAGACGGGGTTTCACCATGTTGGCCAGACTGGTCTCGAACTCCTGACCTTGTGATCTGCCCGCCTTGGCCTCCCAAAGTGCTAGGATTACTGGCATGAGCTACTGCACCCGGCCTATTTGATTTATTATTATTATTATTATTACTATTATTTTTGAAACAGGGTCTGGCTCTGTCGCCCAGGCTGGAGTGCAGTGGTGCGATCAGGGCTCACTGCAGTCTCAACTTCCTAGGTTCAAGGGATCCTCCGTCCTCAGCCTCCCCCGTAGCTGGGACTATAGGTGTGCACCACCACACCCAGCCAATTTTTGTATTTTTAGTAGAGACTAAATTTCTGCTCCATGTTGCTCCATGTTGTCCAGGCTGGTCTCAAACTCCTGGGGTCAAGTGATCCGCTCACCTCGGCCTCCCAAAATGCTGGGATTTCAAGTGTGAGCCTTATTTTTTATTTTTGAAGGCTAGTCAAGTGAAGCAATGGGAGTGGAGAGGAACAAAGTAATCTGTAATGAATTGTGATCAATTAGTTGTAAGCACTACTGCACTCAGACCAGCCTGATGTGGCTCTCTTTTCAGTTAAAACTACTTACCTGGAAAGAGTGAGAAGGCAAACAGTGCCCTGGGAGTTGTCAGAAGCTCTAAGTAGCATTAGGGAGAATGTTCTAGGATGCCGGATATGGCAGCTACGGCTAACTGATAAGAAGACAATTTCCTTCTCTCTCCTGAAAGCCGCCTCCTCTTCCTTCTTCTCGAAGACCCTCTATGCAATCCCTTTAGCCTCCCACTTCCTCCCCATGGCCTGGATGCCCTGGGTTGATCTCTGGTGATGGCCATTCACCCGGCTGGGCCCAGGCTTCCTGAGGGTCTCCCATTGACACAGTGAATTTGCCATGTGACTTGCACAGGGAAATTTGGACAGAATTTCCCAAAGAAAGGACTGGAGCAGTTTACACTCAGATTAAAAACACAGAACACAATCCTTTAATCCGGTAACAATCACTTGATTTATTTATTTTTTTCTTGATGTACATTTTTATTTTTATTTATTTTATTTATTATTATTATTATTATTAATTTTTTTGAGATGGAATCTCACTCTGTTTCCCAGGATTGAGTGCAGTGGCACGATCTCGGCTCACTGCAACTTCCACCTCCCGGGTTCAAGCAATTCTTCCTGCCCCAGCCTCCTGCGTAGCTGGGACTGCAGGCGCCTGCCACCACGCCTGGCTAATTTTTAAAAATTTTTAGTAGAGATGGGGTTTTACTATGTTGGTCAGGCTGGTCTTGAACTCCTGACCTCAGGTGATCCGCCCGCGTCGGCCTCCCAAAGTGCTGAGATTACAGGCAAGAGCCACTGCGCCCGGCCTATTTTATGTATTATTTATATATTAATATTTTTAAAATGTTAGATTTGGAGGGGAGATGTGCAGGTTTGTTACGTGGGTATATTGCATGATGCTGAAGCTTGGACTTCTAATCATCCTGTCCCCCAAGAAGTGAACTAAGTACCCTTGATTCCCGTGCCTTCTCCTCTGCTTTTGGAATCCCCAGTGTCTGCTGTTCCCATCGTAAGCAGTTGCTTTAGACAGCAGCTCTAGGACGCTGGAGAAAAATGTCCATTTTACAAGTTAGGTGCCGAAGAAGCCACCTGAGATGCAACAGCTTGCATCCCTAACCCGAGGCTGGTGCGGCGCCCTTGCCCTGTGGGTCTGTTGCCCAGACCCGGACATGCAACAAGTCCCAAACGAAGTCAGATGAAGGGCCGAGGCCATTATGTAGATAAACCAAGGGCAACATTGGCTTCATTCATTCACTGGAAGCAGAAGCAAGATGTCTAAACGGCTGTCTTCATTCTCGGCTTGGCTACCAGGGATCTCACCTCCTGGTATTTGGATGTTAGGATACGTCACGGTGGGGCCAGTGTTTCTTTTGGGTAGAAAACTTCGGTTCAGGCTCTGAGGGAGGAAACATTGTCAGCTAAATGAAATAGAGCCAAAATTTCTTTTATGTTTGGAGCCAAACCTTGGTCAAAAATGGAAAGGCTTTGCCTCTGACACAGCCTGATTTAATTGTTGAACAAAGCCCTCTTCTTGTGGGGAAGAAAAATGAGGACTCTAACAATTAGCCTTCTAAAATGTAGGCCTGCAAAAACAACTGGGAGGAAATAGGCAGTGACATCCATCCGCCCACTGCTTCTTGGCCAGTTCAGGCCAAGGCCAAACAAAGGAAAAATACATCCAATCGGTTCAAGAGTTCAGCTCTCCCTTCATTAAGCGAAAAGCTGAGCTCCCCTCTCCCCGCCAGCCCAGAGCCCTGTCCCATTCCACTGTGAAGGTTTATCCTCCAGACCCCTCCTAAGGAACGCCTCCCTCTCCTCTCCTGGCCAGTCCAGAGCCCTGACCCATTCCACTTCCGTGATGGAGTGTCCTCCAGACCCCTCCTAAGGAACCCTTCCTCGTCTTGACAGGGGTGTCTCATATGAACTTGATTTTCCTACTAGGGAATGAATAAATCAATAGTCTCAAAGAAGAAACAAGTGTCCTATTAGAATACCTGCAGTGGGTTTTAGTCTTAGAGCATCCCATGAAATCTTCCCCACCACTTTATGAGCTGGTTATTTATTTTTTCCTATTTAATATATGAAAAAACTCAGGCTGAGAGGTTTAAAAATGTAGGAGGTTAGAATATTTGCCCCAGATCACACAGGTCACCCTGGGTAGAGCAGGCAATAAATCAGGTAACAATGGCTGCCAAGTGGCCATCAAGCCAATGCCTTTGTTATTTTCCTGGACTCACCTTGGATTGGAGAAAAGTTAATCAGTTTCCAGAAAGGTAAGAGACCCAGTGGAGCAGGGCCTTTTGAGAATGAAAACTGACCTTTTCTTTCACTGTTATTGTTGTGATTTCCCTGGAAATATATTCACCCCCAGTTTTCCTGGGCCAATATAAAGTTGTTCATTTTGCTGGCTTGGAAATGTTATTCTCTCTCCTTGTTTTGAAGTGTTAAATGTGTGGTTTTCAAAATGCATTTCTCAAACCACTCTACGGAAAGACAGCAAATAATCTGATTAAAAAATGTTCAAGGATGCCTGTAATCCCAGCACTTTGGGAGGGAGGCCGAGGTGGGCAAATGGCTTGAGGTCAGGGGTTTGGGACAAGCCTGGCCGACATAGTGAAATGCTGTCTCTACTAAAAATACAAAAATTAGCTGGGTGTGGTGGCACGTGTCTATAATCCCAGCTACTCGGGAGGCTGAGGCATGAGAATCACTTGAACCTGGGAGGCAGAGGCTGCAGTGAGCTGAGATCGTGCCACTGGATTCCAGCCTGGGCAACAGAGGAAGACTCCATCTCAAAAAAAAAAAAAAAAAAAAAAAAGGCAGGGGATCTGAATAGATGTTTCTCAAAAGAAGACATGCAAATGGCCAACAGATATATAAAAATATGTTCAATATTACTAATGTTGATTAATGCGTCATTAATGCATTCATGTGGATTAGGAAAATGAAAATTAAAACCACAATGAGATTTTTAGTTCACACCTGTCAAAATGGCTATTGTCAAAAAGACAAATGATAACAAGTGTTGGTGAGGATGTGGAGAAAAGGAAACCCTTAGGTCGGGAACAGTGGCTCACGCCTGTAATCCCAGCACTTTGGGAGGCCAAGGCAGGCGGATCACCTGAGGTCGGGAATTCGAGACCAGCTTGACTAACATGGAGAAACCCTGTCTCTACTACAAAACACAAAATTAGCTAGGCATGGTGGCACATGCCTGTCATCCTAGCTACTCAGGAGGCTGAGGCAGGAGAATCGCTTGAACCCAGAAGGTGGAAGTTGCGGTGAGCTGAGATTGCGCCATTGCACTCCAGCCTAGGCAACAAGAGCAAAACTCCGTCTCAATTAAAAAAAAAAAAAAAAAAAAAAAAAGAAAAGAAAAGGAAACCCTTGTACACTGTTGGTGGGAATGTAAATTAGTACAGCCACTATGAAAAATTGTATAGAAGTTCTTCAAAATGTGGAAAATAGAATTACTATTAATATATGATCTAGCAATCTCACTTCTGGGTATTTATTCAAAATATTTGAAATCACTGCATTGAAGAGATGTGTGCCCTTCCATGTTCATCACAGCACTATTGACAATAGCCAAGTTATGGAACCAACATAAGTGTTCAGCAACATATGAATGGATAAAGAAGATATGGCATATATACAAAATGGGGTACTATTCAACCATAAAAATAAACTTTGTCATTTGCAACAACATGGATGGAATTGGAAAACATTTAAATACATTAAATAATCAAGGCACAGAAAGAAAAATACTGCATGTCCTCACTTATATGTGGAATCCGAAACAGTCAAACTCAAAGAAGCAGAGAGAAGAATGGTGTTTACAGAGGCTGGAGTATGGGAGAAATGGGTAGCTGATGGTCAAAGGGTACAAAATCTCAGGCAGGTGGAATATTTGTGTGTGTGTGTGTGTGATATTGTACAGCATGGTGACTATAGAAAATAATAATGTACATTTCAAAATTGCTAAGGGAGTAAATTTTAAATATTCTCACCACAAAAATGATAAGTATTTGAGGTGACGTATATGTTAATTAGCTTGATTTAGTTATTCCACATTGTATTCATAAATCTAAACAAGACTTTGTACCCTAGCCATATATAAATATTATTTGCCAATTTACAATTTAAAAATGTGAACATTTAAAAAAGCATTTTGTTCCTGATGCTGCATTCCTAAAGGCTAAATCTCCTGGAAGCATATTGCATCAACCACCTCACAAACAATTATTGGACTCCTACTACAGGGAAAGTGTTATGTTGGGTGCTGTGGAAGAGACAAGGGTGACCCAAAAATAGCCTGAGCCCTCAGGAGGTAAAAGGCTATGGTATAAAATAGTTTAACACATAAAATATAAGAGATGTGCTATGGTTTGAATGTGTCCTCTCCAAATTTCAGGTGTTGCCAATGTGACAGTATTAAGAGGCGGGGTCGGCCAGGCGCAGTGGCTTACTCCTGTAATCCCAGCACTTTGGGAGGCCGAGGCGGGCAGATCACGAGATCAGGCAATCGAGACCATCCTGGCTAACACGGTGAAACCCTCCCTGTCTCTACTAAAAATACAAAAAAAATTAGCCGGGCATGGTGGCGGGCGCCTGTAGTCCTAGCTACTCAGGAGGCTGAGGCAGGAGAATGGCATGAACCTGGGAGGCAGAGCTTGCAGTGAGCCAAGATCACGCCACTGCACTCCAGCCTGGGCGACAGAGCGAGACTCGGTCTCAAAAAAAAAAAAAAAAGAGGTGGGGTCTTTGAGAGGTGATTAGGCCCTGAGGGCTCCTCCCTTGTGAATGGGATTAGGTACCCTATAAAGGGCCTTGATGGAGAGATTGGCTCCCTCTTCCCCTTTCCCACCTTCTGTGATCTGAGGACACAGCAGGAAGGCCCTCACCGGATGCTGGCACCTTGATCTTGGACTTCCTAGCCTCCAGAACTGTGAGAAAATACATTTCTGTTTTAATAAATGACCCAGTCCCAGGAATCTTGTTATAACCGGCCCAAATGGCAAATGGACTAAGGGACTACAACCTGTCTTAGTCAGGATGGTATGAGTGGGTTGAACTACGCCAGCGCTTCTTAACTTAGCCGCACACCAGAATCATCTTGTGACCTTTCACGAGTGCTGAGGTCTGAGCCTTACCCCACAGAGATTCTGTTTTAATTGGTTTGAATACTGCTTTGTCCCCCGTCCCCATGGGTATTTTTAGAGGTTCTGTAGGCTATTCTAATCTGCAGCCTAGGTTGAAACCATTGAACCAGGAAAACCCAAAATATATTTTCCAGCTCAAATATTTCACAAGTTGAAATCAATGTAAATAGACTTTGGATATTCAGAAGGCAAGGATGGGGTGGAAAGAGAGTACCAGACTGATATCTTTTTATCTCATTGAATCTTCAAAAAGTCCCTGCATCTCCCTTAGTCTGTGGCAAAACCAGCCACCCACCTGCCCATCCAGACTCAGCCGTCATCTCCAGGGAATGGTGCCCGTCTCCATTCACCCAGGAAGAGTCCTTGCTCTCTTGAGTTTTTTGAATTAATAGTTCCCCAATAGCTTTTTGAAAAATATGTCTTTGTTAGCTTATCCAGTTTCCTTTTTCTTTTTTCAGTTGTTGTAGCTGTGGATGTGATGGTTTGTTACAACCTTGTACATTTCAGTTGGAAGCAAAACTATTCCTATTAGGCATTGGGAAGCCTCGCAAGAAGAGAGAGATGAATTGGTGTGTGGGGAAGATCAATCTGGTGGCCAAGGCAGGAAAAGTTAAATTTAGGAGAACAGGGATGTGTGCAGAGAGGAGGGCAGTGTCAGATTGTGATGGAAAGAGACAAATAAGAGAGGCCTTGGCTGGGTGCAGTGGCTCATGCCTGTAATCCCAGCATTTTGGGAGGCCGAGGAGGGTGGATCACGAGGTCAGGAGTTCAAGACCAGCCTGACCAACATAGTGAAACCCCATCTCTCTAAAAATACAAAAATTAGCCAGGTGTGGTGGCGGGTGCCTATAATCCCAGCTACTCAGGAGGCTGAGCCAGGAGAATCACTTGAACCCGGAAGGTGGAAATTGCAGTGAGCCAAGATTGTGCCACTGCACTCCAGCCTGGGTGACAGAGTGAGACTCTGTCTCAAAAAAACAAATAAATAAATAAAATAAAATAAAGGCCTTATGAGAGAATAAATTTCAATTTGTAGGGATAGATTCAAATTCATGCCTGTCCATCTTTAAAACCTGGACACTTTGTCTACACCATCTGTGTAACTGGCTGCAAGAACCCACTGTTCCTACGGAGTGGCTAATACAGAAGTAAAACTCTTTGGCTTAAATTGTTATCCTGGTGTATTTATGGGAGAGCCTTTTGGCTTTTGTGACTGCTACATCCAACTCTATTTTATCTGAGAATGGCTGAGATGGTTCAGGCCAAACTCATGGTATAATTGGTAATAGATACCCAGAACTTTCTCTGTAAGTTTCCTTTGCGATTTTTTTCTTTTGATGTAGTTTGGGGTTAACAATAGTGTATACTTGTGGATTAGTAATTGGATAATTAAACATGTAAGTGTTTCATTTTAACAAGTTCATCTCTCTTGATTCATCGATTCAGTTTCTAGAAATCTCTCCCAAGGCATACATGCAGACAAAGGCTTATAAAGAAAGTTATTTATGATAAGGACAAACTTAGAAATGATTGAAATACCTTATTTACATAGAAGAATGAGATATATATAATACGCACATTTAGAACCATATGTGATTATGAAAATATCTGATATAGCTTAAATGGCCATCAATATGGAATTGGTTAAAAGATATGATATAACACTATGGAAAACTATGTGATAATTAAAAATAATGGGGTCATATATATGCAGAGATTTGAAAATATCTCTAGTACATATTGTTGTATCGTATAATTCCATTCATGTCTCTCTCTATGTGTATATTATGCCAGTGCATAGAAAAACACTAGAAGGATACATAGCACACTGTTAATAGAGGTAAATAGTTTTTTAGAAGTAGGGGAGAGGGATGATAAAAGGACCTTTCTGTTTTACTCCATAAACTTTTATATTTAGATCTTTTTTTGTTTTTGTTTTTGAGACAGAGTCTCGTTCTGTCACCCAGGCTAGAGTGCAGTGGCGCGATGTCAGCTCACTGCAGCCTCCACCTCCTGGGTTCAAGCAATTCTCTGCCTCAGCCTCCTGAGTAGCTGGGATTACAGGTGTCCACCACCACACCCAGCTAATTTTTGTGTATTTTTAGTAGAGACGGGGTTTCACCATCTTGGCCAGGCTGGTCTTGAACTCCTGACCTTGTGATCCACACGCCTCGGCCTCCTAAAGTGCTGGGATTATAGGCATGAGCCACCATGCCCGGCCTATATTTGGATCTTTTACAACAAGAACATTTACATCGATTGCCCTTGTAATTAAAAATCATAAAATCGTAACTGCTTCTTTTGAAAAGGCTTGACTGTTAGTCTTCTTCCTAGGTGGCTTCTCATAAGCTTGGCTGCCTTTTGAAGGATGAAAAACAAATTACTCTCTCTATTAAAGTGCTCTCCGAAAATTTAACAAATTGGGCAATTGCTTTGAGGTGAACGAGTCACCAGGCCAGGTTGCAGACACCCTTGGCTAAGGTCAATGGCCATGCATCAGGGAAGTGGTACCCTAAAGGAGCTGGATTTGTCCCAGGCCAGGGTGCCAGCGGGGGACGGGGGTGTGTTCTGTGACATGAGCTCAGAAATGTCTTCCCACTATCTTTGATTTCAACATTCTCCTGCCTCAGGTGCTGGTGCAGAGAGGAGAAAGAAAAAAAAAAGATGCGGTCATATCCTGGTGGTGGGGGATGAGGGATAGAGAGGGCAGTTTGGACTTCACCTAGACAAGAGAAAGCATAGTCTTCAGGAAGGTGATATGCTGGCTGGGCACGGTGGCTCACGCCTGTAATCCCAGCACTTTGGGAGGCCAAAGTGGGCAGATCAGTTGAGGTCAGGAGTTTGAGACCAGCCTAGCCAACATGGCGAACCCCGTCTCTACTAAAAAATATACAAAAATTAGCCAGGCATGGTAGTGCACACCTGTAGTCCCAGCTACTTGGGAGGCTGAGGCAGGAGGATCGCTTGAACCCAGGAGGAAGAGGTTGCAGTGAGCCGAGATCGTACCACTGCACTCCAGCCTGGGCGACAGTGAGACTCCGTCTCAAAAAAAGGGTGATGAGGAATGGAGGGTCTTTTTCATCCATGTACTTTCAGATGGCTTTTTTTTTTTTTTTTTTCTCTTTAGCCCTTTCTGAGGTATCCACTCAATCTAATCCACAATGTACTCCTTCCTGTTTAGGAGTTAAAGAGTGGAATTCCTGGAAGGGACCCTGAGCCACCAGTCCAGCCCCCTGAAGGGCAGAGCATTCTCTGGATACCCAGAGAGGTGACCGTGGCATCCAGGAGTGGACCCGGGGCTGCACCAAGCATCCCGGAGCCCAGACTGGTCTCGCTTCCTCACCTTTCTGGCTCTGCGGCAAGCGGCTCCTAATGATACCTGGCTGAAAGAGACCAATTAACCTGAGCTGCTGAGGACTCTGAGAAGCTTCCCTTATGCTGTGGTTATGTGGGATTTCCCAGGTCAGTGTCAGTTGTGTAAAATACAGAGGTCTCCAATGGATGATGGGTAGTTTATGACACTTCCACTTTACAATGATGCAAGAGAGATACGCATTTTGTAGAAGTGGAAATAGTGCTTCGAGTTCCCATACAACCATTCTGTTTTTCACTTTCAGTACAATGTTCAATAAATTACATGAGATATTCAACACTTTATTATAAGATAGACTTTGATGATTTTACCCAACTATAGGCTAATGTAAGTGTGCTCAGTGTGTTTAAGAGAGGCCAGGCTAAGCTATGATGTTTGGTAGGTTAGGTGTTCTCAACTGCATCTTTGACTTATGATATTTTCTTATTTTTTTCTGTTCTTTTTTTTTTTTTTTTTTTTTTTTTTTGAGAAAGAATCTCGCTCTGTCACCCAGGCTGGAGTGCAGTGTCACGATCTTGGCTCATTGCAGCCTCCCACTCCTGGGTTCCAGTGGTTCTCCTGCCTCAGCCTCCCGCGTAGCTGGGATTACAGGCACGTGCCACCATCCTGGCCAATTTTTGTATTTTTAGTAGAGACAGGGTTTTACCACATTGGCCAGGCTGGTCTCGAACTCCTGATCTCAAGTGATCGGCCCACCTCGGTCTCCCAAAGTGCTGAGATTACAGGTGTGAGCCACTGGACCTGGCCAATCTCTGTTTCTTTTCTTCTTCTTTTTTTTTTTGAGACGGAGTCTTACCCAGGCTGGAGTGCAGTGGCCTGATCTCAGCTCACTGCAACCTCTGCCTCCCGGTTTCAAGTGATTCTCCTGCCTCAGCCTCCTGAGTAGCTGGGATTACAGTCACACGCCACCATGCCCAGCTAATTTTGTGTTTTTAGTAGAGATGGGGTTTCTCCATGTTGGTCAGGCTGGTCTCAAACTCCTGACCTCAGGTGATCTGCCCACCTCGGCCTCCCAAAGTGCTGGGATTACAGGCGTGAGCCATCGCAACTGGCCCAACCTCTGTTTCTTTCTAGTCCCCATGTAAGCGAAGCAAAATTTAATACATTTGTTTTTTAATTAATCCATAATAATGCAAAAATGCAAGATATATTTTCGGGGAAGGGTACTTCAACGGGTGTGTCTCCCTTATCTGACTGTGTACACCTGGGAGGAATAGAGTGTACTTTTCTGTTTTGTTTGTTTAGTAGCCAGAACTCTGCCAGGCCAAACAAACGATGTAGTTGATGGGACAGAGTTTGCCAGGGTTGTCGGCTGTGTGAAGGTGTGAGCGGGAACTCCATGTTCTGAACAACAGCAGTCGGCTGGGGAAGCTCCAATGTCCAGGCTCAGAGAAGCGGACTGGGTAGGCGGGGTACGAAGCTGATGGAAAAGTACCCAGCTGCCTCCTCTTCAGTTCTTCAGCCTCACCGTGTGCGGGAGACGTGTCACAGCAGCATTCTATCATCATTATCCTGGAAGGGAGCGTTGGCGGGGTGGGAGGGCAGCCCTGACATTCACCCGGTTCCTCCTGGGCTCGCCGTGGTTCTAAAAGCATTAGCCGCGTGCTTCAGCGGGAAGAGCCCCAGGCCAGGAACAAGGGGCGTAGGCTGCAGCCTCTGACTTGCCACTAATGAGCTGGTTTGGGATAAGCCACATAAACTCAGAAAAATAGTCATTCCGCCCCCGGCCCCATCACAGTCTGATCTCTAGGTTCCTTTCTAACCCTGAGAGTTTAGGGCCTGTGCCCTTTGAACCCACTCTATCTTCTGTTCTCAGCATCCAGACTGGTACTTTTCTGGAGAAGGTTTAAATCTCCTTTCTTGGGTGGCTTGATGTAGTACTCCTAAACCAGAGGACATGAATTCCCAGGGACTAAGCAGGATTTTGTTTTGGGATAGGAAGTGGCAGGTCACTCAAGGACTTGGGGGGTGTAGGTAACTGAACCTACCTTCAGTTTCGTCATCCCTCATGGAAAAAGAAAAAAGGATGGAGTCTGTTCTTCCAAGGATGTGCATGACAGTACCCGGAGGGGACGAGGCTCTACATGGTCCCCAGCTGGTCCCAGGGTTGTGCCAATAAATTCAGGTCTGCAGCGCCTTCTTCGCATACTTCATCTCCAGCCAGGCTGCCATGTGCATGGAGATGGCAGCCACCACACCTCTCTTTCCACAAGGTGGCTGTTGTCAGTGGTCTGACTTCATTCATTGCCCTGGAAAGCTTTAAAAATGAGGCGTGGCTCCTCCCAGGTGTATTTAACGTGACGAAGCTTCTGCATTTTGCAATCCTGAAACTTCACGAAGGAACTATTCAGTAAGTAGAAACCTGTAGGCAGAGATGGGAGGGCCTTTCAGACCTGGATAGGATGTTCAAATCGACCCATGGGAGGAAGAAAGGGTTCAGATCATTGCTGTGGTGGGTTCTGGGCAAAGGGAACCGTGCGAAGGGAGACTCCACTCTGTTGCTTCCCCAGAGAGTGAGAGTTTAGCTTATTTTCAGAGGTTTCCTAGACAAAAGCGTTCCAAATAGATTTCTAGATGTCTTAGCTTCACGTTTCAAAAAGAAATACTCAACCTACTTAGAGCTCTTTCTTTTCTAAAATTCCCAGGAAACATCACAACAGCATCATATTTAAAATTTTTTTTTCTTTCTTTTGCTTTCACTGTCCTCACAATTCGTTCCCAACAGCAGCATCATAAATGAAGTGTTTCCATCATCACAATTTCATCTTTAGTTGGGGCCATCCGAGGAGTTGGGAAGAGACAGGCACTGCTGTGTGAGACCCCAGATTGTCATACAAAGAACCCTTTCTGAGTCATTGATCTGAAAATACACCAGCAGGTTCCAGCCTATTGTATCTAGGCTGTGTGACAACAACCATTGATTACCTGGGAGTCTGAGCTCAAGGGGGTTCAGGAAGTTGTGTGGGCTGAACTTTTTGATCCTAACTCAACTCTGGGAAAAATAAACAAGCACACGAGTCATTTATATTCATGGTCACTAATAAAGGTGGTGGGTTCCTTGAAGCCATGTTTACATTCTTATTTTTAAATCATGACGATGGGAGGTCAGACAAGTGACTTGACCATGGTAGGGACTTGTAAGAGTGGCCAGGATGGAGGGCAGTTGAGGACCCTGTTGTAGGATTAGTGTGCTAGCCCGTGTCCAGAATGGTCTGTGATGGGAAAAATTGGAAAAAACATTACAGTCCACTAATAGGAGGTTGGTTAGGTAAATGGTGGCATGTCCTGTGCCATGGAGTATTGCATGCTGTGGGTCACCTTCCCCAGACACACCCTGCGATGAGGGTTTCTGTGCATGGGATTTATTATGGAAGAGTTCCTAGGACAACCTTGTGAAGGAGTAGGGAAGCTGGGAAGGGAGATGGAAGGAACAAGTCAGGATGTAATTTCAGATCGGGTCTGGCACCCACCTGATCCCCATGCGGGACTCTGGAGTGTAGATTACACCCACTGGAGACAAGGAGCCAGGTGTTGGTAATCCTTCAGCCCCTCCTAGCACAATGGCTCTGGGAGCCCAAGGACAGGTCTCAGAAGAGAGTTATAGGGGTCAACACCTAAAGCAAAAGCTCACCTAAGCCCAGGCATGGACACTCCAAAATGAGAAAGGGACCGGCGGGTAGAAGCAGACGGCCTGCTTTACTATGCAGCCATCAATAAGAAGGAAGTAGAGTTCAAAGTACATCGACGGGAATTTCTTCATGGTAAGCACTGAGTGAGAAAAGCAGTCTACTGAGCAGCATATATATTTTGATCTTATTTTTTTTTTGGAAAAAGAAATATGTGTATGCACATACAGAAAAAAGTCTGGGAGGAAACAGACCCAACTCTTTATTGTGTTACTATAAGAGAGTTTCAGATTGGGGAAGAGGGGTGAAGGGATCATGGAGACATTCAGATTTTATGAGCAGGTATGTCTTGCTTTATAACAGGAACAAAAAAGACAGAAATGCACAAGGCCTCTGCCATACAGCAGGAGCATGTGCCTGTGCAGTTAATGGGCTTCTCTGTTTCTGGGCCTGAGGACCAGACAGGCCACACTAAGTAGACCATAGGGACCACTTGGTGAATTTAGGGATGTTTCCCTTGAATGAACAGCACTCTGAAGTCTGCAATTAAACATAATACTGGACTGGAAATTGTGGCCTCAGTGGTCCTCATTTTGGATGACTGATTGTCATTTTAGGCTGTCTTAGGAAAACCTGCTCTTAGCCTAGTGTCTTCTCTTCCTGTTTGAATATCCACTGGATGTTCATTAGCTTAGCCTCTGCTCCCTGTAGGGGATTGTCTGAGTGGAAAAATTACTCTCATGCTTTGCCCACAGCCTGGATTGATGGCCTTGGCAGAACATTAAATTCGTAGGTGAAATAAACTCTCTTCCCACTTGGTGGTAGGTTAGAGATCCAGGCTGACATAATTCTTTCCCCTGGTCAGTAAACAGCCAGGAATGACCATGGAAAGGCCTGCAAAAATGGCCACCAACTTTCCTGTTACCACAAAGCCTAAAATTACACTCTATCATATATGGTGCTGTGTTTAGCTTTGGGCAGAGAGAAAACTGCATGGAGGAAGTATTTACACCCTTGGGGTTGCAAGATTTTCATCAAAACCACTCTTGTTTCAGTTCATCTATCCATACACTCATCCATCCATACACTCATCCACCCACCCATGCATTCATTCATCCATCTATATCCATCCATCCAACCATCCATCCATCCACCCACCCATCCATTTATTCATTCATCCCATCCATCTATCCATCCATCCATCCATCCATCCATCCATCCATCCACCCATCCATTTATTCATTCATCCCATCCATTCATCTATCCATCCATCCACCCAACCATCCATCCATCCACCCAACCATTCATCCATCCACCCAACCATCCATCCATCCATCTACATCCATCCATCTACCCATCCACCCATCCATCCATCCATTCACCAACTCATCCATTCATCTGCTCACCCATCCACCCATCCATCTACTCATCCATCCATCCACCCATTGATCCATTCATAAATCCATCCACTCATCCATTCATTCATCCATCCATTTGTTCATCAGCCCATAATTCCATTCATCCATCCACCCACCCATCCATCTGCTCATCCATCCATCCATCCATCCATCCACTCATCCATCCACTCATCCATCCATCCATCCATCCATCCATCCATCCATCCACCCATCCATCCATCCGTCCATCCATCCATCCTTCCATCCATATTTCTAGTAATTATTGAGTGACTCTCATGTACCAAGCATTGTGGTAGTCACCTTGTCTCCTGGCATTTACCTGCAGCAAACACACTTAAATCTTACCTCCAGCCTTTACCTGCAGTTTTTGAGAATATACTAGAAACAATTTTAAGTCCTCTCATTAGAGTTTGCTGTCTCCTAGCCCAGCATTAGTAGTTATTTTCATTGTTCAGTAGTGGAACATCAGATAGTAATATCCATTATGTGATGAGTGCTGGCTGAATGGCAGGCACTTAGCAAAGCCTTCTGTACACCCTGGCTCATTTAATTCTAATTCTAATGGTCATCCTAAGATATGTGTATTATTGTCCACATTGTAATCTTTTTATGGTGAAGTACAACATACATGAAAAAAAGCATGGAAAATGTAAAGTATGGTTCTATAATTTATCGCCAAACAAAGATGTATACAATGAGGTTAAAAAATTCAAACATTGGCCGGGCACGGTGGCTCACGCTTGTAATCCCAGCACTTTGGGAGGCTGAGGCAGGTGGATCACGAGGTCAGGAGATCGAGACCATCCTGGCTAACACGTGAAACCCCGTCTCTACTAAAAATACAAAAAAATTAGCTGGGCATGGCGGCGGGTTCCTGTAGTCCTAGCTACACGGAGAGGCTGAGGCAGGAGAATGGCATGAACCCGGGAGGCAGAGATTGCAGTGAGCCGAGATTGCGCCACTGCACTCCAGCCTGGGCGACAGAGCGAGACTCCGTCTCAAAAAAAAAAAAAAAAAAAAAAAAATTCAAACATTGCCAGCATCCAGAAGGCTCCTTCATGCCCCCTTTTAATTGCCACCTGCTTCCTGTCCCCAGAAGTAACCACCATCCTGATATATGTGGTAGTGGCTTCTCTGCTTCTTTTTATAGTTTTACCATCTAAGCATGTATCCCCAAGTGCTATAGTTTTCTTTCGCCTGTTTGTTTTACTTTAAACTTTACATAAATCACATTGTATGTATCTTTCAGTGACTTTATTTTCCTCAACATTAAATTCTGAAATTCATACTTGCTGTTTCATTAGGTAGTGATTGATTCTCATTTCTGTATAGTATTTTATTGTATGAATATACTACAGTTTATTTTCCATTCTACTGTATTTGGTCATGTGTGTTTTTCCAGTTTTTTTACTATTATGAATAATGATTCTTGCACACATCTTCCACTGAAAAAGGGCAGTCATTTCATTGGATATGTAAATGAGAGTGAGATTACATTGGATATGTAAATGGGAGGTGGTAGGCATGTGTTCAATTTTGGTAGCTAGTGCTGAACAACTTTCCTAAACAGTGGCACTAATTTATCTTCCCACCTGTAGTGGACAGGAGGTCAGTTCCCTGCATCTTCACCATCACTTGGTACCACCAGTCTTTCTAATTTCAGCTTATCTGATGGTACGTAGTGGTGGTATCTCTTCACGATTTTAATTTGCATTCCATCTATGACAAACGAGGTTGTCTTTTCATATGTTTACTAGACATTTGGATACCATCTTTTGTGAAGTACATTTTGAAGTCTTGCTCATTTTTTAAAACTGAATTTTCTGCCCTTATTTGTAGGATGTTTTCTGGATGCAAGGTCTTTCTTTTGTTGTTAAATGAGTAGCAAATGGCTTTTCCTAATCTGTCAGTTGCCTTTTAATCCCTTAAACGCTGTCTTTGGAATGAGATCATGTCTTTTGCAGGAACATAGATGGAGCTGGAGACTATTATCCTTAGCAAACTAATGCAGGAACAGAAAACCAAATACTGCATGTTCTCACTTACAAGTGGGAGCTAAAATGATGAGAATGCATGGACACAAAGCAGGGAACTGCAGACACTGGGGCCTTGTTGACAGAGGAGAGTGGGAGGAGGGAAAGGAGCAGAAAGATAACTATTTTGGGCTGGGCGTGGTGGCTCACACCTGTAATCCCAGCACTTTGGGAGGCCGAGAAGGGCAAATCACCTGAGGTTGGGAGTTTGAGACCAGCCTGGCCAACATGGTAAAACCCCATCTCTATTAAAAATACAAAAATTAGGCCAGGCATGGTGGCTCACACCTGTAATCCCAGCACTTTGGGAGGCCGAGGCAGGCAGATCACTTGAGGTCAGGAGTTCAAGACCAGCCTGGCCAACATGGCGAAACTCCATCTCTACTAAAAATACAAAAATTAGCCAGGCATCATGGCACACATCGGTAGTCCCAGCTATACTCAGGAAGCTGAGGCAGGAGAATCACTTGAACTTGGGACACGGAGGTTGCAGTGAGCTGAGATCATGCCACTGCACTCCAGCCTTGGGGACAGAGTGAGACTCTGTCTCAAAAACAAAACAAAACAAAAAACAAAAAAAAAAACACAAAAAACTCTTAGATACTAGACTTAATACCTGGGTGATGAAATAATCTGTACAACAAACCCCTATGACATGAGTTTACCTACCTAACAAACCTTCACATGTACCCACAAACCTAAAATAAAAGTAAAAACAAAGCTGTTGGCCGGGCGTGGTGGCTCACGCCTGTAGTCCCAGCAGTTTGGGAGGCTGAGGCGGGCGGATCACGAGGTCAGGAGATCGAGACCATCCTGGCTAACATGGTGAAACCCTGTCTCTACTAAAAATACAAAAAATTAGCCGGGTGGGGTGGGGGGTGCCTGTAGTCCCAGCTGCTCCAGAGGCTGAGGCAGGAGAATGGCGTGAACCCTGGGGGGCGGAGCCTGCAGTGAGCAGAGATCACACCACTGCACTCCAGCCTGGGCGACAGCGAGACTCCATCTCAAAAAAAAAAAAAAAAAAAAAAAAAAAGCTGTCTTTGGATATTTTCAATGTAATCTAACTTATCAACTATTCCCTTTATGGTTAGTGCTTTTTGTGTCTTGCTTAAGAAATCTTTCCCTGCCCTAAGGCCATAAGGATATTTGTGTGTGTTATTGTATCAGTCATGGTCAAGTTAGGAAAACAGAAATCACACTATAAATTTCAAGGGAGAGAATCTAATAAAGAGAAATGGTCACATAGGTTTCAGAGTCTGAAAACCAAAACAGAAGCCCTAAGGTAACAGAGAGAATAGCTTCAGAAATGGGTACTGCCTCAAAGACTAGAGGAGCAAAGGCAAGAGGGTGGTGTTATCAAAACCTAGTAGCTCAGAGAAGGGATCCCTCACAGCGAGGAGACTCAGACTTCTAAGGGGGAGCTGCTGTCCAGCGGTGCTAATAGCCCAGAGGGGCTGTGATGAGATTGGTTCCAGGGGAGTTGAAAGAAGCTGAAGGCTGGAACCAAAATGCTGGCCTGCCGAGACCACCTCGGTCGGGGAGACCCTAACCCAGCAGCGCTAGAGGAATTAAAGACACACACACACACAGAAATATAGAGGTGTGAAGTTGAAGTGGGAAATTAGGGGTCTCATAGCCTTCAGAGCCGAGAGCCCCGAACAGAGATTTACCCACGTATTTATTAACAGCAAGCCAGTCCTTAGCATTGTTTCTATAGATATTAAATTAACTAAAAGTATCCCTTATGGGAAATGAAGGGATGGGCCGAATTAAAGAAATAGGTTGGGCTAGTTAACTGCAGCAGGAGCATGTCCTTAAGGCACAGATTACTCATGCTGTTGTTTGCGGCTTAAGAATGCCTTTAAGCGGTTTTCCCGCCCTGGGTGGGCCAGGTGTTCCTTGCTCTCATTCTGGTAAACCCACAACCTTCCAGCGTGGGCATTATGGCCATCATGAACATGTCACAGTGCTGCAGAGATTTTGTTTATGGCCAGTTTTGGGGCCAGTTTATGGCCAGATTTTGGGGGGCTTGTTCCCAACACTGCCCAGGTGATGGTAACAGTGCAGAGGACATCTCTACTTCGCTCCTCCTGAATTTCCATCTCTTTCTAGCAGCTCCTATTGCAAATTCTAGCAGGAAGCCAACCAGCAAGGGGGAAATGAAGAGTCCTGGCCCCAGAATTACAATGCAGGACAAAGAAGTGTGGGTGTGGAGCTGAGAGACAAGAGCTTAATAATGGTTATTTTCTTCTGTTTTTGAGACAGAGTCTTGCTCTGTCACCAGGTTGGAGGGCAATGGTGCAATCTCGGCTCACTGCAACCTCTGCCTCCTGGGCCTAAACGATTCTCGTGCCTTGGCCTCCCAAGTAGCTAGTATTAAAGGCGTGTGCCACCATGCCCAGCTAATTTTTATATTTTTAGTAGAGATGAAGTTTTGCCATGTTGGCCAGGCTGGTCTTGAACTTCTGGCCTCAAGTGATTCTCCAGCATTGGCCTCCCAAAGTGCTAGGATTACAGGCGTGAGCCACTGTGTCCAGCCACGGTTATCTTCTCGAGAAGCCTTGTGGTTTTGCCTTTTAGCTGTACCTAAAACCTGCCTGGAATTGGTCTTTGTGAATGATGACAAGGGTTTGGTGTCACTTTTTCCCCATATCGAATTGACTTGGCACCACTCTTGGAAGGTTGCCTTTTCCCATTGCACTTGAGTGCCATCTTTGTCATTAATCTAGAGGGACTGCTTCTAGATGTTCCATTACGTATTCGTCTAAACTTGCACCAATATCACACTCCCTTAATGTAGCTTTAAAATCAAGTTTGACATTGGGTAGAGTAAGTCATCTTACTCTGTTCTTATTCAAGATTGTCTTGGCTATTCTTGGCCCGTTGGATTTCCATTTGATTCTAGAATAAGCTTTTTAATTTCCATGAAAATTTTGCTAGGATTTTAATTTAAATCACATAAACTCTATAGGTAACTTTGGGAAGAACTGATATCTTTACAATATTGACTTTTTCAATCTAAGAATATGGCTTATTCCTTCATATATTTAGGGTTTTTTGTTTAATGTTTATGTCTTCTGTGTAGATGTATTACACCTATTTTATCAATTTATTCTTAGGTATTTGATTTTTTAACTTTTTATTATGAAGTAATTTCCAAATTAAAGAAAGGCTGTAAGAATAGTACAGAGAAACCCCTTGTTCCCTTTACTCAAAATGTTTTTCAACATTTAACAAAACATTTTGCCACATTCACTTGTTTATTCTGTTTCCCTCTTTCTTTTTCATTCTCTCTATACGTGTATGTTATTTTTATTTTCCATCTTTTCCTTAATAATCTGAGAGTAGATTGCATAAATCAGGCTCCTTTACTCCTTTATATTTCAGTGTGTGTTTTGTAAGAACAAAGAGAGTCTCTCATATAACCATGGTATAGTTACCAAATTCAGAAAATTTGACCTTGATAGAATACTTGTATATAATGTAGTCTATCTTCCAAGTCATCGATCATCTTAATGATGTCCTTTCTAGCATTGTTTCCCTGGAGGTACACGGTCTCATTCAGAGACACCTACTGCATTTAGTTGTCAATTTGTGTTAGTTTTCTTTAACTTGGCATAGTTTCTTTTTCTTTCATTTTTTTTTTTTTTTTGAGATGGAGTCTAACTCTGTCACCCAGGCTGGAGTGCAGTGGCGCCATCTCGGCTCACTGCAACCTCCACCTCCCGGGTTCAAGCGATTCTCCTGCCTCAGCCTCCCGAGTAGCTGGGACTACAGGTGCATGCCACCATGCTCGGCTAATTTTTGTATTTTTAGTAGAGGCGGGGTTTCACCATGTTGGCCAGGCTGGTCTCAAACTCCTGGCCTCATGTGATCTGCCTGCCTCAACCTCCCAAAGTGCTGGGATTACAGGCATGAGCCACCGCCCCTCACCTAATTTGGTATAGTTTCTTAAGCTTTTTGTTTTTCATGATATTGACAATTTTGAAGAATACAAGCCAGTTATTTTATCAAATGTTTCTCAATTTGATTTTGTCTCATGTTTCTCCACTATTATGTTTAGGCTATACATCCCTGGCTAGAATATTATGGAAGTCATGTTGTGTCTCTTGGGGTATCACCTATGAAGGCCTGTCACCCCACCTGCCTCTTGCGGGTAATTATTTTGACCACCTGCCCAAGGTATTGTTCAATTTTTCCACCGTATATTTACTATTTTCTCCCTTGGAGCTAATAAGCAATCTATGGGGAAACACTGGTGCCACGAAGACATCCTACTCCTCATCCAAATTTCTTTTTAAGTTTAGCTTTCACTGATGATTCTTGTCTCAACCAATCTTTGCTATAATGATTGCAGAAACATAATTTTCCAGCTCCACCCCCTCCTTCTGTGTTTATTGTTCAGGATTCTGCTGTCAGGAGGAGACTTCTCTTGTCCTTCATTTTTTTTTTTGTTTTTCTATTTATTATTATCATTTTTTAGAGACTGGGTCTAGTTCTGTTACGTAGGTGGGAGTGCAGTGGCATGATCATAGCTCACTGCAGCCTTGACCTCCTGCGCTCAAGGAATCCTCCTGCCTTAGCCTCCTGAGTAGCTAGGTCTATAGGCTTGTGCCCCACGCCTGGTTATTTTAAATTTTTTTGTAGAGACAAGGCCTTACTATGTTGCCCAGGCTGGTCTCAAACTCTTGGGCTCAAGTGATCCTTCTGCCTCGGCCTCTCAAATTGTTGGGATTACAGGCATGAGCCACTGAGCTTGAGACTGTTTATTTTATGGATTCATTGATTCCTATTATATTTAATGAGTTATAATCCATAGTGTCCTTATTTATTTTGACACTCAAATTGTCCCAGATTTGGGTCATAGGAGCATCTTCAGGCTGGCTCCTGTATCCTTCGGCATGCTCTCCTCTTCTGCTTTGAGGACGTCGTTGATTTCTAGGCCTGTACAATACTCCAGGCTCATCTTGTGCCTTCCCTGTCTCAGCTCTAAGACTGTCGATGTCTCTAACAAGCCCTCGGTCCTAGATCTGGTTGTAGTTGTGTTATTGCCAGTGGGTGTCATTGCTTCTAGGGTGTTTCAGTGGCCAGAGTTGGGATAAATATGTGTGTGTGTTCACATATGCGTAAATAAAACCATACAATAACTATAATATGTATGTGTGTGTATCTATATCTATATATGGTTGTATTATTGGAAATATACATTCATATTGAGATCTCCAATTCTAATTCAATGCAAATGTTCTTCTTTCACCCAGGACTGTCCACATATTTTGCAGAGTCCAAGTAAAATGTAGGACTCCGTTTTCAAAATTTATTCAGTATTTCAAAACAGCAACAGCAGAGCATTAACCCAAATAAAGGGCAAGGGGTCCCTGCCAAACCTGGGGCCCCGCATGATGGCCTTGGTCTCATGCGTGCGAAGCAGGCCTTGCCTCCATTATGCTCACAGGGAGAATGCTGGCTCACAGCATTGACAGCGTAACGCAAGATTGTCTGCGGAATTTGGGGACTATGTGAAAGAAAAAAGCAGAATTTAGAGGTGCTAAATTATAAATCTTTCACCTTTTTTCTCTTGTCATGTTGTTTTTTAAAATTTGCTATTTAATGTTATTCAAAATAAAGAAACAAGTTATTAGCATGAGTTCTACAGTTCGTCCTTATATTGTGCAGTGACAATTTTACATGCAAACATAAGCGCATTTAACTCATAAGTGGGTTCACCACAATCACACAACTGGTATTTCCCAGCTTGTATAGGCATATGTATCTTGTTCTTATGAGAACAATGGAGATATTGTACAAAACAAACTCACTGCTTTTATTCACCGCTTGATAACGCTCATGTTCTGCCATTGCTGGCTACCCTGGACGTACGTACTAATGAGTGAGGAAGGTCTGAAAGGAGAAGGAACTGTGGGTTTCACTGGCTTTCCCTTTCCTCACTTCAGCATGTGTACTTGGCTAATACAGGGAAGTAGGAGGTCAGGATGAGGCTCCTTAGTGGTTAGAGTTTCTTAGAACGTCATTGCCTTCTTTCTGCAGTCAGGGCAAGTTCTGGGTCAAACAGAAAGTGCGGTGTCTCGGGGCTGTTGGCGTTCTTACTTACTCACTTGTAGACATAGCACGCTTCCTTTCAGCCCCTTCTACTCACTTGCTGAATTCCCAGCCATCAAGGCAGCAAGCTTCACTTCTCAAACATCAGTTCAAAGATCAAATTACTGGCCGGGTGCAGTGGCTCATGCCTGTAATCTCAGCATTTTGGGAGGCCGAGGCGGGCGGATCACCTGAAGTCAGGAGTTCGAGACCAGCCTGGCCAACATGGTGAAACCCCGTCTCTACTAAAAATACAAAAATTAGCCAGGCATGGTGGCGGGCGCCTGTAGTCCCAGCTACTCGGGAGGCTGAAGCAGGAGAATCGCTTGAACCCGGGAGGCAGAGGTTGCAGTGAGCCGAGATGGTGCCACTGCACTCCAGCCTGGGTGACAGAGCGAGACCCTATCTCAAAAAAAAAAAAAAAAAAAAAAATCAAATTACTAAGAATTTCAAGCTGGCAATGACAGTGTTAAACCATGTGTAGTGTCCTGAGCATGGGGCCCTGTGCGACGGAGCAGTTCTCATGTCCGCTGCTTTTCAAGGATTTTCCTGTCTCCCCTCCCCCACGCCACTTCCATGGTCTGGAAGCCACAGGCAGAGCCCCTAAGGTGGTTATGTTGAGATTAGGTGTGGAATTCTTGGCATCATTTGAAGTTACTCTGTATCCCAGTAATGCTGAAAGCATGTGTGTCTTATTTGTACTTCTTGATAAACTTCTTTTTGGAGATTGCGTAGAGGGTTTTTAATTCAAGTGGCTGCTATTATGCCTCATGCTAGGAACCTTTTTGGGGGTGCTTTTCTATACTATTATAAAAATTATATAAGGCTAGGCACGGTGGCTCATGCCTGTAATCCCAGCACTTGAGGTCAGGAGTTTGAGACCAGCTTGGCCAACATGGAGAAACCCCATCTCTACTAAAAATACAAAAATTAGCCAGGGATGTTTGCGTGCACCTGTAATCCCAGCTACTCAGGAGGCTGAGGCAGGAGAATCACTCGAACGCAGGAGGTGGAGGTTGCAGTGAGCCAAGATTGTGCCACTGCACTCCAGCCTGGGTGACAGAATGATACTCCGTCTCCAAATAAATAAATAAATAGAAATTATATAAATATATTTAATAAAAAAGACTAGTTAACTTTTTTTTTTGTACTGGATCATACATTCACAAATTTCAAACATAAAGAGGTTAAAGAGGCTGGGTGATGTGGCTCATGCCTATAATCCCAGCACTTTGAGAGGCTGAGACAGGCCAATTGCTTGAGCCCAGGAGTTCGAGACCAGCCTAGGCAACTTGGCAAAACCCTGTTTTTACTAAAAATACAAAAAACTAGCTGGGCATGGTGGTGCATGACTGTAGTCCCAGCTATTTGGGAGGCTGAGGTGGGAGGATCACCTGAGCCCAGGAAGTTGAGGCTGCAGTAAGCTGAGATCGTACCACTGCACTCCAGCCTGGGAGACAAGAGTGAGATCCTGTCTCAAAAAAAAAAAAAAAAAAAAAAGTTAAAGATTTTTAAAAATTCATTTTTTAATTATTTACTGCTAGTATGTAGAAATGACAATTGCTTTTTAAAACAGTAGTTGTCAACATGGGCTCCCCTCCCTGGGTCTTCATCTTCCCTGAATGGCGATTCTTCAGTATATTTTTACTTCCCTATATGCCCAAGCAGATTATTTTTACGTTTTTTTTTTTTCAGCTGTTAGATAAAGATACTGAGATACCAAGAACATAAATAACTTTTCCTAAACAAATTTAAGACTGAATTATAGACTCAGTGATCTAGGATGATTTATGTACTTATTTATTTTCAGAGATGGTTGCCCAGGCTGGTCTTGAACTCCTGGGCCCAATAAATCCTCTTGTCTCAGCTTCCTGAGCAGCTGGGACTACAGGTATGCACCACTGCACCTGGATAGGATGATTTGGTCTTGTCTTAAGGAGCAACACATACATATATTTTTTTCCCTTTTCCAGATTCCGGGGTCTGTTATCTGTGTGATGAGGCCATGGGGAAAATGCAGTGAATATAGGCTTTGCCATAGGTAAGACGTTGCAGTTAGGAAAGTGGAAGTGACTTAGGGTGGAGAAATGGGAAGAGAAATTGGTTTAGTGTGTGGAGAGAGGAGGCAGTAAGACTTAACTCTTCCCAGGGGTAGACATTAAATGGCTCATATTTCTGGTCACTGACTGAGTTATTTTGTACCTGGACAACTTCAGAAGTCAGCATGTCAGAATGCATAAATGAAGAGGGCCATATGATGTGACTCTATCTGACACAGTTTTATCTATTTATTTTGAAAATGGTGCCAGGTGTGGTGGCTCACGCTTGTAATCGCAGCACTTTGGGAGGCTGAGGCAGGTGGCTCACCTGAGATCAGGAGTTTGAGACCAGCCTGGCCAACATGGTGAGACCCCCCTCTCTACTAAAAATACAAAAATTAGCTGGGTGTGGTGGTGTGCACGTGTAGTCCCAGCCACTTGGGAGGCTGAGGCAGGAGAATTGCTTGAACCCGGGAGGCGGAGGTTGCAGTGAGCCGAGATCGCGCCATTGTACTCCAGCCTGGGCAACAAGAGCAAAAACTCCGTCTCAAAAACAAACAAACAAAACAAAACAACAACAACGACAACAACAAAAGAATATGGGTGTTTAAGACTCAGGAACATGGGACAAGAATTCTGTGCTCTACTTTCTGGTGAGCTACGACCCGGAACCAGTTGCTTTCCCTCTCCACAAATCTCTCACGGAGATAATGATGCCTTCTTTTTCCCATTTCATATGAGAAGTATAAGTTACCTAATATTACTCATTCTTCTACCAAGAAACTAGAGGAATATTTTTGAGGTAACTGATTGTGTCATGCAAGGTTTAAAAGCCCTTCAATGGTTTCCTGTTGCTCTTGCGTTTAATGACACACGTCCTAACCACAGCTCACCGTGTCCTGGGGCATCTGGTTCTTGCCTGTCTCTCTAGCCTCAGCTCAGCCTACACTCCTCGGCCACAGAGGCTTTCTTGAACTCTTGTTTTTGCACACTCCCTCCCATGTAACACCTTTGTGCTTGCTGTTTCCTCTGGATAGTAAGGGTCCGGTTCCCTCTTTACCAGGTGGTTTCTAATGCATCAGATGGTGTCATGGCATCAAGGAGTCTTCCCACCCTCCGGGCTAGATTAGGCCCTATGACATGCGCTCATCGGACCACATGCCTCCTTTGTAGGACACCCAGAGTTGCAGTTTCACCTTTATTGGTGTCATTATTTGCTTCATGCCCGTTCTCTCACTAGACTTAAGCACCTTGAGAGTAGGAACTGGGCCAGTTTTGACTCAGCACTCTCTTCCCAAGATCTAGCCCCCTGCCTGGGATAGTAAGCACCCACTAAATATTTGCCAAATAAATGAAGGAAAGACATTTTTATTCATTTCATCCTAACTGTAGATTTTCCCAGTTCTTAAACTTGTTTTCTGAAACGTGGGTTTGGATAAGAAGCATTCAGGAACAGATTATTGAAATTGGGAAAGAAAGTGAAAGATGCTCTTCCAATGGCCTTGCTACAAGTAATTAGTATTCAACCACTTCCCCCGTCTGGAACCTAGTTTCAAGTGCCAAGAGAAAATGTGTCTAGCATTTAAATGGATTCTTCCAGAACACCAGTGGCCATGCAATTGCTGAAGTAGCCAAGCTCCTGTGCATTGTAAATGTCAGCCTTGTTCCAACACCTCTGCTAAGGTAAGGACGAGAACCGAAGAGCGTTACCTTTCAATTTATGATTTCCTGGTGCGTGTGTGATGCCTGGGAGGCCCAGGCTACGTTCCTTTAGCCACTGAAGGACTCTGACAGCTGCCTCCTGGGGGTGTGGGAGCCAAGAGGCGGGAAGTCAAACTTCAGATGTGTCTATTGAATGGCAGGATGAAGAGCCTGGTAGCAGTGCTTGCGGAAGGGCTGGGAAGCCGAATTCTTTGAGAGTAATGAAGCCACTTCCGGGCAGGTAGCACAGGGAGCTGATGAAGCCCAGTGTTTGAATCAGACCTCTTTTAGCTCCAGTCCTGGTTCAGTACTCTCTAGGTGTGTGATCTTGGACAAGATGTTCAAGCCCCAAGCCTATGAGTCTCTAACTAAGGTTGTGTAGAATAAATGAGACAGTGTACCTCAGACCTTTGATAAAAAGTGAATGTTCAATAAAGGTAACAGGATACTGTGACCCCAAATAGCCACAGCGCCTTCTCCCGTGGGTGGAGGGTGGAGCCTATGGGTATCTGTGTGTGCTTTCTCCCCCACACTGTGGGCATGTATTTATATTTTTAAAGCTAAATTGAAATGAATCCTAGTTCAACCTTGAATGGGAAGAAGTATTGCAAAAGGGCAATAGGCTATCAGAGGGTGGGTGTGGAAGTGGGAGAGGCAGGTACCTATTTACTTAGGGAATATTTACCAATCTCTACCATGTGTGGGAATCTGTGCTTAGCACTGAGGATAGACCAGAGGGTGGGATAGACAGTTGCCCCTGCCCCGATGGTGGCTGCCATCCAGCAGGGAGGGCAGATGTGAAGCATTACATACGTGCTTACTTGCCATTGTGCATGTATGTTGTATGTTATGAACAAGTGCAAAGCACCCCGAGTTCACAGACAGGGGCTGTAACTGTCTAGTTTGGTGAATGGCTGATGAAGGCAGTGCTGGGAGATGATAAATGTCCCTTCTGTCCCTTAGGACTTGCAGGTAATGGTCTCCTGTGTCCCTCCCTTGACTCCAGGCTGTCTAGTGAAGGTGATCGTTCCAATTGCCCTATTAGGACATCGGGGTTTCTTAACTAAACCCTGAATGATGCCTTGGATTTATGCATTCTGGCCAACGTGTTGAAATACGTCAGTCTGGCTGGGCACGGTGGCTCATGCCTGTAATCCTAGCACTTTGGGAGGCCGAGGCGGGCGGATCACCTGAGGTCAGGAGTTTGAGACCAGCCTGGCCAACATGGTGAACCCCGTCTCTACTAAAAATACAAAAATTTTAGCTGGGCATGGTGGTGGGTGCCTGTAATCCCAGCTACTTGGGAGGCTGAGGCAGGAGAATTGTTTGAACCCGGGAGGCAGAGGTTCCAGTGAGCCCAGATCGTGCCATTGAACTCCAGCCTGGGTGACAGAGGGAGACTCTGTCTCAAAAAAAAGAAAAAAGAAATAGGTCGACCTGGGCCCCAGCCGCGCTGTGCTTTCATGAGTTTCCGTCAGCCCTGTTCCATATCCTGGATCTGTGCATGCCAAGGGCTATGTGGGAAGATTTCATTTCAGGTCTCTTGAGAACAGGGTCAGATGGAGGAGGCAGGCTTTATTTCAGATTTGGACAATAGGCCTGAGGGCTTGATTTATAGAGAAAGTCTCAGAGGAAAATAAAGGAAAAGAAAATACTTCCCATTCTCCTAAAGTGTTCACATGTCTCCTGTGCAGTGAGTGGGGCTGAGATTGCAGGCTTTTTTTTTTTTTTTTTTTTTTGAAGTGGAGCCTCACTCTGTTGCCCAGGCTGGAGTGCAGTGGCATGATTTCAGCTCACGACAACCTCTGCCTCCCGGGTTCAAGCAATTCTCCTGTCTCAGCCTCCCAAGTAGCTGGGATTACAGGTGTCTGCCACCACGTGCGGCTAATTTTTTTGTATTTTCAGTAGAGACGGGGTTTGCTGGGCCCACCTCACAGATGTGATCCATATTCTCATGATGGCCGTGAAATTAGAGATGTGACTAGAAGCAGCTGCCCACCAAAAGTAAAACAAACAAAAATGAGGCCTGGAGTTTTCCCCGTTCCTCTTCTGGGGCCCGAGGAGCTTGCCACCCGTGGGTGAAAAGCGTTGCCTTCCCGAGAACGCCTGCTCTTTAAGGGATCCCCGCCGCCATGCAACCTACAATCGCACGGCCCTTTACAGTGTATAAAGCCCTTCAAACCTTGAGGGGGCTGTCGGGAAACCTGTGTTCTGTTGACAGTTCTGTCAGTCACTCTGGGCTTGAGGGTTCTCTAAGGAAAGCATGGAGATTGGACTGGAGTATGTTAAGGACTGAATTGCATCCCTGCCAAAAACAGCACGTTGGAGTCCTACTCGCCAGCACCTCAGGGTGTGACCTTATTTGGAGAAAAGTCTTTCCAGAGGCCATCAAGTTAAAATGAGGTCATTAGGATGGGCCTTAATCCAGTATGGCTGATGTCCTTATAAAAAAGGGAAATTTGGAGACAGGCACATGCAGAGAGAAGGTGATGAGAAGAGGGAGTGAAGACAGCTGACTACAGGTCAAGGACAGACACCTGGATAGCTCCTTCCCGCAGCCTCAAAGGACCCAGTCCTGCCGACACCTTGATCTTGGACTCCCACCTTCCAGAATCAGGAGAAAATAAATTTTTGTTGTGGGCCGGTGCGACAGCTCATTCCCATAATCTCAGCACTTTGGGAAGCTGAGGCAGGAGGATCACTTGAGCCCAGGAGACTGAGACCAGCCTGGGCAGCATGGGGAGACCTGTCTCTACAAAAAATAAAATAGCTGAGCCTGGTGGCACTTACCTGTGGTCCCAGTTAGTTGGAAGGCTGAAGGGGAAGACCGCTTGAGCCCAGGAGGTCAAGGCTGCAGTGGGCTATGATTGCAGCACTGTACTCCAGCCTAGGTGACAGAGCGAGATCCTATCTCTAAAAAAAAAAAAAATTAAAAAACTGTTGTGTAAGTCCCTCCATCTGAAGTACTTTGTTGCGACATCCTCAGCACACTAATACAGTGTACTGAAGCTTTTTTGTGTGTGCTGTAGCCCCTCTGGTCCTCCAGGGTTGATCCTGAGCCCCTTCTTAGAATAATGTTTACATTTAAAAAATAACACACTTTGGATTACGAAGGAGAGAACTCTTGAAATACTGATATCAAAATGCCAAATATAAACATTTACGATGTAGAAATATATGTACCACTTTAATAATGCATTCAATAGTGGCAAGTCTGAAAACAACCGTAATTTCACAGTAGAGATGAAGGGTAAATACTCTTTCAAGACATCTGCAACAGGCTGGGTGTGGTGGCTCATGCCTGTAACCCCAGCACTTTGGGAGGCTGATGTAGGAGAATTGCTTAAGCCCGGAAGTTTGAGACTAGCCAGGGCAACATAGTGAGACCCCATCTAAAAAGAATTAGCTGGGTGTGGTGGCACACGCCTATAGTCCGAGCAACTTGGAGGCTGAGGTGGGAGGATCCCTCGAGCCCGGGTGGTCGAGGTTGCAGTGAGCTGTGATGGTACCACTGCACTCCAGGTTGGGTGACAGAGCCAGACTCTGTCTCAAAAAAAAAACAAAAAACAAAACTGCAATAACCATCATGTGCCATGAACATATTATGATTTTTACTGGTGACCGACACAGAGGCTGCTCATGTGGTATGCTGCCTATCTTCATAATGAAAATGCTAAATATTAGTTCCTGGCTAGTGGAGGAAAAGATTTTTTTTCCCACCCAAGTTTACATATTCTTGAATTTGATCTGTTCCTGGACTGGGTGGTGTCCACTAGGGGACTTTTGGGGTCTGTGGTTAGGCGACTCTGGGTGGATTGTCCCATGAGGCTGATGCCTCTTGCTCTTTGCTTAAGACTCAGTGACCCTTCGGCACTTGGGGGCCTTGTGCCAGGGGCAGGTGGTCACGGCCCCGCCCCTCTGTTGTCATGGCGACAAACCGATGTGGCCTCTGGAAGCTGCTCCCTTCTCTGTCCTCTTCCAGAGCCTTGCCGTGGCTCCGGTAGATTTCTCTGCATAGCTTGTCTGTGACTCGGCGAAGGAGGTGTGTGGAGAAGGTGCCAGTTCCCTCAGCGGAGCCACCCTCGGGGCCTGCGCCTGACTCAGACAGGAAGTAGCTGACACTCCATGCCAGGAAGTAGCTGACACTGCATGCCGGGAACGCTGTCCCCAGCCTTGTGATGGAGTCAGGCCTCTGCCGGTGACTCACCGCCATCACCCAGGCGCTGCTCTTGCTGGGAATTTTCTCATGAGCTCATCTGGGCAGTGCAAAGAACCACACAATTGTTCCCCACACGCGTTCTTATTGTGCAAAAGGGAAACCTTGGTTTGGATCTTGTGGGTTTTTTTCTTTTTTTGAGATGGAGTCACGTTCTGTCACCCAGGCTGGAGTGTAGTGGTGCGATCTTGGCTCACTGCAACCTCCGCTTCCCGGGATTCTCCTGCCTCAGCCTCCTGAGTAGCTGGGATTACAGGCATGGGCCACCACGCCCGGCTAATTTTTGTATTTTTCATAGAGAGGATTACATCATCAAGAATGAAACATTTTTTTTTTAATGGCTTAAGGGGTATATGGCTCTTCAAATACACGCAGGGGTTATGCTTTCTCCATGTGGAGGGTGGTGCTCCCTCTGCAGCCCACCCATTCGGAGACAGGCTTTCTTCATGCTGGAGTATCTCATTCCTCGAAATATGCTTGCTATTTCATGCTTGAAATCAAGATGTCTCCCAATTCATGGCACCTTGTATTTGACAAATAGACTGCGTAAAGACAGAGTCTGTCTTTAGGGAATGAGAGGATTTTTGGTAAAAACAGAACCAAAACTTCTACTGACCCAAGAGAAGGCTTTGTTTGCTTGGAGTGGATTATCAGCCAAATGCTATCTTTATTTTGTGGGATTTTGGCCTTTGAATCAGGTTCATGGGTGGCATGCTATAGAAATAGGATAACAAATGGGATAATTCTTCAAACAGAAACATGGCCTAGAATGGGAGGGGTTGTTGTTTATTTATATGTATGTGTCATAAAAATATTTTAGATCATAACTTAGCAAATGTATGAAAGTGGAAAATGTGTTTATGGATCTATTTCATAAAAGGGCCATGCTTCAGAAAAAAAAAAAATCCCAAGAAACAAACCAAAAAATGCCAAAAAGAGAAATCTCTGTATGGGAGACTATCATTTAGCTGCAGACAGGATAGTTACAGATTAATTGCTGGCCTTATCTAACTACTAGCTACAATAACTCCAATTTGGGGTCGGCCAAGTACCAATGAACTTCGCTTTCTCTGGGCAACAGCTGAGATGTTGCAGCTGCAAGTGGGGTTAAATAGCCTCCAATAAAGGAAAAAACTTGAGGAGTAATTCAATTAAAAAAAAATTGACATAATTATAGATTCAAGGATGATGCAAACAAAAAGTGTGCAGGAAGGTCCTTGTCCCCTTCCCTCAGTTTCTCCCAATGTGACATCTTACATAGCTACAGTACAATATCACAACCATGATATTGAGATTGGGTCACAGAACCTACCTAGATTTCCCATTTTATATGTATTTGTGTGTGTGTGTGTGTGTGTGTGTGTGTAGTTGTAGGCAGGTTTATCACATGTGTGGATTCTTATAACCATCACCCAAATCAAGATATATCTTGATTTTGCTCCATCACCAGGAGGCTCCCTCATGCTACCCCTCTAGAGCCTCAAGTCACCTTCCCTCCTTTCTCCTCCCCACCTGCTGGCAACCACTAACCTGTTCCCCATTGCTGTAATTTTGTCATTTCAGAATGTTGCATAAATGGAATCATATTGTATGTGATACAGTTTGGATCTGTGTCCCCGCCCAGATCTCATGTTGAAATGTAATCCCCAGTGCTGCAGGTGGGGCCTGGTAGAAGGTGATTGGATCATGGGGATGGTTTCTTTTTCTTTCTTTCTTTCTTTTTTCTTTTTCTTTTCTTTTCTTTTTTTTTGAGACAGAGTATCGCTCTTTCACCCAGGCTGGAGTGCAGTGGCGCGATCTGGACTCACTGCAACCTCCGCCTCCTGGGTTCCAGCGATTCTCCTGAGTAGCTGGGATTACAGGTGCACACCAACACGCCCAGCTAATTTTTGTATTTTTAGTAGAGACAGGGTTTCACCATGTTGGCCAGGCTGGTCTTGAACTCCTGTCCTCAAGTGATCCACCTGCCTTGGCCTCCCGAAGTGCTGGGATTACAGGTGTGAGCCACCACACCCGGCCGTGGGGGTGGTTTCTAATGGTTTACATCATTTCCCTTGTGCTGTGCTCACAACAGAGTTCTTGCAAGATCTGTCTGTTTAAAAGTGTGTGGCATATCCCTGCCCCCGCACCTCCCTCCTGCTCTGGCCATGTAAGATGTGCCTGCTTCCCCTTTGCCTTCTGCCATGATTGTAAGTTTCCTGAGGCCTCCCTAGAAGCTGAGCAGATGCCAGCACCACGCTTTCTGTACAGCCTAAGGAACTATGAGCCAATGAAACCTCTTTTCTTCATAAATTACCCAGTCTCAGGTATTTCTTTATAGCAGTGTGAGAATGGACTAATACAGCATGTAACCTGCTAGTGGACTTCTTCATTCAGAAGGATTCCTTTGAGATCCATCCAAGTCATTTCTGTATTAATAGTTTTTTTTTTTTTTGACATGGAGTCTTGCTCTGTCATCAAGCTGGAGTGCAGTGGCACCATCTCTGGCTCACTGTGACCTCTGCCTCCTGAGTTCACACCATTCTCCTGCCTCAGCCTCCTGAGTAGCTGGGACTACAGGCATGTACCACCACACCCACCTAATTTTTGTATTTTTAGTAGAGACGGGGTTTCGCCATGTTTGCCAGGATGGTCTCGATCTCTTGACCTTGTGATCCGCCTGCCTCGGCCTCCCAAAGTGCTGGGATTACAGGCGTGAGCCGCAGTGCCCGGCTAGTTTGTTCTTTTTTATTAGTGAGTGGTATTCTGTGGTTTGGGTCAGCCATTGTTGATTTTTTTTTGTTGTTGTTGTTGTTTTTAAGAGGGAGTCTTGCTGCCAGGCTGGAGTGCAGTGGCACGATCTTGGGTCACTGCAACCTCCAACTCCCTGGTTCAAACAATTCTCCTGCTGCAGCCTCCCGAGTAGCTGGGATTACAGGCACGCACCACCACAGCCAGCTAATTTTTGTAATTTTTAGTAGAGACGGGGTTTCACCATGTTGTTCAGGCTGGTCTTGAACTCCTGACCTCATGATCTGCCCACCTCGGCCTCCCAAAGTACTGAGATTACAGGCGTGAGCCACCGTGCCTGGCCAGCCACTGTTGATTTTTAACCAGTTATCCCCTGAAGACCATTTGGGTTGTTTCCAGTTTGAGGTTATTTGGAATAAAATAGCCATCTGCATAGCCATTTTAAAGCTAAAGTGGATACTAACTTCTAGAGCAGAGGTTTGCGGAGGGCAGACTTTTGTACACATTTCTATCCTCTAGGACTTAGCCTAGTGCTTGCATGCAGATGCTCAATAAATGCTCGTTTAAGGAATGAATAGACACATAGGAGCCATTTAAGGAGACAGTGTGGTGGGTGGTAAAATCATAGGTTTTAGACTTAGACAGACTCGAATGCTAGGCCTGACTTTGTTACTTTCTCCCTGAGAGGTCCCATGCAGAGGCCTCTGCTCCTTATCTGTAAAACGAGATAGGAACAGGACTGCTGTTATAGGGCTGCGGCGAGAATTCACTGAGGAAATGCATGAAGCCCTGAGTGTGGTGTCTGCCACACAGCAATTGCTCACTAACCTTCAGTTGTGATGATTACTATGAATAGATCATTGATGTGCATAAGATCATAATAATGCAATAGCTACTAACTTATTATGGCTTTTATTCTGAATGCTTTTATCCCTCCAATGAGGACATATCATTTATATAGTCTATATTCATGCATGGTTAAATTTTTAAGTCATGTAAATGTGAATTTTTAAAATGTCTCAACTGACTTCTTTTTTAAATAACAAGTCTTTCTTAGTGTTATTATCTTAGGAACATTAGTGGTCAACTATCTAACATCGTATGCATATTTTTAGAAATTTGGAAGGACTGAAATGTTCTTTTCTGTGCCGCCAATCGGGTTTCTATCAACCTTGGGAAAGGGCATCTGCTCTTATAAAAATGGGCTGAGCAGATTTTATTTTTCCTGTTCATCATATTATAAATTCATCTGGAGGAACAACAAGGATCTTGGTTCTTTGGTTGATGTATGAGCACTTAGAAGAGAGAAAGGCTCTTTTCCTGCTTCCTGCTGTGTTTGCTGTCTGTGTGCCTGGGGTCACGTTTGGGGGAATGTCTCTCCGTCTCTCCGGTGACCTCCTGGAATGTCAGCAGAGCCCTGAGTCACTCAGAACCTCCCGCCAGACAGCATGAGGCGGCAATCAGAAACTAACCATTAACTAGCTCCGGGGACACCAGGAGGTGAACAAAATTTCCAGCCATTTGACAAAGACCAGTGCTATTTACCATTACATAAATGAGGCTGGAGTCATTGATCTTGACTTCTCAAGGCACTCCTATGCGGAAGGTGCTGGGCTACTCTCTGCTGGGTTCTGGGGATTAATTAGACATTGGCCTGACCCTGGCTGCATGCTGTGTGTGTAGGAAAGGCTGTGAAGGAAGGCCTCTTGGAAGACTCAGAGCTTTGCAGGTGGGCAGGACATCAATAGGCAGATAGGACCGGATAGCTTTGGGAGACAGGGTTCCAGGGCTTTCCACGCTGTCCGTGTCACACAGCGGACACACCTGGCTCGTTACCTTTGAGCTGTGACATCTTTGCTCAGCTGCCCCTTCTACCTAAAACCCCTTCTCTGGAGACATTCTCTTCATCAATCAAGACCCAGTGCTGGCGTCTCTTCCTCCAGGATAACTGCCTCACGTCTACCAGGCAGAAGGAATTGGATTTTTCCCTCTGTGGTGACATAGTCCTTTATTAAGCTGTATGTAGTACTTGCCGCCTTATTTTATTTGGATATGTAGACCATCCGTCTTCCTCCTTTGGGCGGATAGCGCCTTGATGGTACGATTGGGCATGGGCCATGTCATGTCCCTAGAAACATGTGCATGGCCCCAGCCTGTGGAAGGCATCAGCCAGTGTTTGTGAACCTGGCTCGCCTGACGGTGGGAGGAAGTAGGACGGGCCAGTGGCTCTCAGTGCTCACCAATATCCTGTGTTCCTCATCCTTCAGGACACACCCTTAGATCGTGTAATGTCTTTTGTCACTGCCTTTGTGTTAGATGTGAGCATAGCATCAATCCTGGCCATGGAATTTGTCACTTTTAGCCCAGTCTAGAAAAACCTTCTCTGCAGGAGCCCTGCTGTCTTCTCCATCTGCTTGCTGAATAGAGAGGGGCATGAGGCTCTCTAGGAGGACAGAGCCACAGATAGCAGAAGTCAGCGTCCCTGGTTAGAAGCAAGGGGGACTGTTCCCTGATTGGGAACACTGAATTGGGCTTTATGAGAGTGAGGCACATGCTTTTTTTTTTGTTTTAAATTTTTTATGTTTCTGTAGTTTTTTGGGGGAACAGATGGTGTTTGGTTACATAAGCAGGTTCTTTAGTGATGATTTGTGAGATTCTGGTGCACCCATCGCCCGAGCAGTATACACTGAACCCAATTTGTAGTCTTTTATCCCTCACCCCCTTCCCACCCTTTCCCCCTGAGTCCCCAAAGTCCATTGTATCATTCTTATGCCTTTGCATCCTCATAGCTTAGCTCCCACTTATGAGTGAGAACATGCGATGTTTGGTTTTCCATTCCTGAGTTACTCCACTTAGAATCATACTCTCCAGTCTCATCCAGGTTGCCGTGAATGCCATATATTCATTCCTTTTTATGGCTGATTAGTATTCCATCATATATATATATATATACACCACAGTTTCTTTATCCACTCATTGACTGATGGGCCTTTGGTTGGTTCCACATTTTTGCAGTTGTGAATTGGTGAGGCAGAAGCATTTAATTGGGAAAGTTCCTGAAAGTTTGGGATTGTTTTGTTACAACAGCCAGCCTGACTCAGTTTAACTTTACTTACTAACACAGAGATGGAGACTGCATCCTAGGGCATACAGAAACGGCTCCATCTAGCTGCAAGTGAAGCCCAGACTGTGTAGTTTTGATTCTGGACAACCACATGCCCAGCTAAAAATTTGGCATTGGTAGAAGAAGAGAATAACAGATATCGGGGCTCCCATAACAGCATCTTCCATAGAGGCTCAGACAGCTCTTTGAGGTTTTAAAAAGTGCCACTTCTCTTAACTGATACATTCCACTGTTTTTCCCCCACCCTCCAATTAAACCAAGTAGGGTTCATCTCACTGAAAAGCTGTTGAATCAGGATTTTCTTTCTTTTCTATGCTTTTTTTAAAAAAAGTTATACTGGGGCAAACTTTGAGGTATTAACTAAAGTTTCCTTAATCTCCCTCTGTCTCTATTACTTGGCACTGCACTCCAGGATCCTCCTAGGGAACTAGACCCACAAGGCTGAAGCAGGCTTCACTTTAGTAAGAAGGCAGATGCAGCAAAGATCGATTGAATCTCTAAGTAGATTTTAAAACAAATTCATGAGCTTGAAATCTAAGGAAATTAAAATGGAAAGATTTTTGAGCCCAAAGAATAAATCCTGAAGGACTCAGAGCATGAATTTTTTTTTTTTTTTTTTAAGAGATGAGGTCTCACTATGTTGCTCAGGCTGGAATGCAGCGACTATTCACAGGCACCTTCACGGCACACTACAGGTTCGAACTCCTGGGCTCAAGTGATCCTCCTGCCTCAGCCTCCCGTATAGCTGGGGCTACAGGCACACACCACCATGCCCGGCTGAATTTTATCATGAAAATGATCACAATGGAGATGATTGTGTGCTGGTGTAAAATCTGTTTTCCTGCTAGAGAGAAAGCATGGACTAGTTGAGGGCATGGAAAAGAATTGGTGGTGACCGGATTCAGGCTCAGATCCCTGGCTCCTCCTCTTTGGGTCAGATTCTCAAGAGACAGGATCATAAGAGCCTCTCCACTGGTTCTCAGATTCTCTGTGCATAACATACCCTTGGGCGGCTCAATGTATGTTTCCAGATTCCCGCTGCATGGTCTGACTCAGTGTGTCTGTTGGGAACATGGCAGCTTAATTTTAAAATTACTATTCTGATTATGATAGCACCACTGTAAATTTAAAGGGATTCTGGAGCAGCTGTGACCGTAGCAGCAGATGTAGTGAGGCTGGGGCTTAGCCCTACCATCCAATGGGCCAGGCTACCCTTCAGGAAAGACAAGCATAGACCTAAGGCCGCTCTAGGCCAAATGTCTCTCTTTCTCTGAGGACAAGATAAAAGCTCCTTGAAACTCATATCACCACCAAGAAGGTGCGAATAAGGGGGAAAGTGAGCCTTAAAGTAACCAAGAATTTACTCAAAAGAGGAGAAGACGATTCAGAGGTTAGTGAGTTTACCCTGACTTGGCAAAATTATGCCATATTCTGCCATCAACAAACATAGGAGCTGTGTTCAGTTCAGCGATAAGAGTATAGAAAGTTCCTTTGTCTTTGTATGTCTGAATGTTTGGTTTTTAGACCTACCAGGTATGGGGTTTAATCTGGAATTTCTATGGAGTGATTTATTTTTCTCACTCACCCTATATTTTCCTGCTGTGCTAGTTGTTCTATTTATTTATTTGAGACAGAGTTTGGTTCTTCTTGTCCAGGATGAAGTGCAATGGCACGATCTTGGCTCACTGCAACCTCCGCCTCCCAGGTTCAAGCGATTCTCCTGCCTCAGCCTCCTGAGTAGCTGGGATTACAGACGCCTGCCACCATGCCCAGCTAATTTTTTTGTATTTTTGGTAGAAACAGGGTTTCACCATGTTGGCTGGGCTGGTGTCAAACTCCTGACATCAGGTGATCCACCCGCCTCGGCCTCCCAAAGTGCTGGGATTACAGGAGTGAGCCACCGCGCCCAGCCAAGTTATTCTATTTAATCAGGACAATTCTGTGTCTATTGCCTTGGGAGGTGTGCGTATGGGGGCAGGTGGGTAGAACATGACTCAAAGCAGAAGTAAGTTTCTTTGGCTTTATTCTTCCCAAAGCCTATGTCCTTATGGGAATGGTGAGGAGGCCTGGCCATCTTGAGGCAACAGGCTGCCCCACCTCCATCCCTGCTGTGCCTACTGAGTCCAAAAGCTGAAGAACTTGGAGTCCAGTGTTTGAAGGCAGGAAGCATCCAGCATGGGAGAAAGATGGAGGCTGGAAGACTCAGCCCTGAATGAGAGGAAAGAGCAGAGGGTGGGCAAGTGAGAAATAAAGCAAGATGGAAGCACTGGAGAGAGGAGCTGTAGCCATATCAGACCAACCTTGTTCAGTTTTTAGTGAACAAAGTTACGAGTTGTTTTTCAGTTGCTGTGGACCCCCAGATTGAAGTTCAAGTAACGTGAGCATGCCCAGGTGAACCAATCGTGCAACCACGGGTGGAACCTAAGTGCTCAGACTGAGCAGTGGGGACTGAATTAAGGAGCGAACACTGCAGGCAGGATCCAGGATCCAATCAGATTGGACCCTGGTGCCACCCCATGGCAGGATTCAGTCAGATCATGCCTCCCAGTATCATCTCATCGCAAGATCCAATCACATCATGCCTCATTACCCTATGCTTATAAAACCCATTGCAGCCCCCAGCTCACGGAGACAGAGCAGAGAGCTTCCTCCTCTCTCCTTGTGAGTTGACTCACAATACATCTTTCTCACTGCGAAAATCCAGTGCTTCAGCGTTATATTTGTTAAGGTGGATTTTATGACCCAGAATATGATCTGTCTTGATGAATGTTCCATGTGAGCTTGAGAAGATTGTGTATTTTGCTGTTGTTGAAAGGATTATTAATAAATGTCAATTAGATTCTGTTGATTGATGGTGCTGTTCAGTTCCACTGTGTTCTTACTGATTTTCTGCCTGCTAGACCTATTTTTTATACCGGGGTGTTGAAGTCTTCAACTATAATCGGGAATTCATCTATTTTTCCTTGCAGTCCTTTCAGTTTTTGCCTCACATATTTTGATGCTCTGTTATTAGGCACATATACATTAAAAATTGTTATGTCTTCTTGGAGAATTGACCCCTTTATCATTTGTAATGCCCCTCTTTATTCCTGATAATTTTCTTTGCTCTGAAGTCTGCTTTGTCTGAAATTAATACAAATACTCCAGCTTCCTTTTGATTAGTGTTAGCACATAATATTGATTAGTAACTTTCTTCATCCTTTTACTTCAAAATTTTTTATTTTGGCATAATATACACAATGAAATTTACCATTTTAACTATTTTAATGTGTACAGTTTAGTGGTCTTAGGAATATTCATAGTGTTTGCCAAGTATCACCACTGTCCATTCCCAGAACTTGGAAACAAGAACTCTGAACTCACTGAACTGTAACTCCCAATTTCCCTCTCCTCCATCTCCAGCCCCTGGTAGCCTCTATGTTACATTCTTTCCCTATAAATTTCCTATTCTAGCTACCTCATGTAAGTAGAATCATGCAATATTTGTCCTTTTGTCTTTGGCTTATTTCACTTACAATAATGTTTTTAAGGTTTATCTATGTTATAGCATAAATCAGGATTTTTTCCCATTTTTAAGGTTGAATAACATTCCATTGCATGTATACCGTGTATTGTTCATCCATTCATCTGTTGATGGACATTTGAGTTGTTTCTACCTTTTGGCTATTGTGAATAATGCTGCTATGAACATTGGTATACAAGTATCTGCTTAGCCTCCTGCTTTCAGTTCTTTGGGGTATGAATCTAGAGGTGGAATGGATGGATCATATGGCAGTTTTATGTCTAAGGTTTTGAGGAAATGCCAAACTATTCCACAGCAGCAGTACCATTTTCATTTCTATCAGCAATACACAAGTGCTACAATCTCTATTTTTTTTTTTTTGTCTTTTTTTTTGAGATGGAGTTTCACTCTTGTTGCCCAGGCTAGAGTGCAATGGTGTGATATCGGCTCACTGCAACTTCTGCCTCCTAGATTCAAGCGATTGTCCTGCCTCAGCCTCCTGAATAGCTGGGATTATAGGCATGTGCCACCATATCTGGCTAATTTTGTATTTTTAGTAGAGACGGGGTTTTACCATGTTGGTCAGGCTGGTCTCAAACTCCTGCCCTCAAGTGATCCACCTGCCTCAGCCTTCCAAAGTGCTGGGATTACAGGCATGAGCCACTGCGCCCAGCTCAATCTCTTTACTTAAAAAAATTGTGGTAAGAACACTTTATGTGAGATCTACCCTCTTATCAGATTTTTGAGTGTACAATACATTATTGTTGACTCTGGGTACAATGTTATGCAGAAGATCTCTAGAGCTTGTTCATCTTGCTTGACTAAGACTTCATGCCTATTGATTAATGACTCCCTATTTCCCCTTCCTCCCAGCTCCTGGCAACCACCATTCCACTGTTTGATTCTATGAATTTAACTATTTTAGATACCTCGTGTAAGTGGAATCATGCAGTATTTGTCTTTCTGTGACTGGTTTATTTCACTTAGCATAATGTTCTCAAGTTTCATTCATATTGTCATACCGAATTTTCTTCTTTTTTAAGACTGAATAATATTTCATTGTATGTATGTACTACGTTTTAAAATCCATTCATCTGTTGACCATCCTTTCACTGTTTTTTTTTTTTTTTTTTTTTTTGAGATGGAGTCTCGCTCTGTCGCCCAGGCTGGAGTGCAGTGGTGTGATCTTGGCTCACTGGAAACTCCACCTCCCGGGTTCACGCCATTCTCCTGCCTCAGCCTCCCGAGTAGCTGGGACTACAGGCACCCACCACCACGTCTGGCTATTTTTTTGTATTTTTAGTAGAGGCAGGGTTTCACTGTGTTATCCTTGATGGTCTCCATCTCCTGACCTTGTGATCTGCCCACCTCGGCCTCCCAAAGTGCTGGGATTACAGGCGTGAGCCACCACGCCAGGCCCTTTCACTTTTAATCTATTTATATCTTTAATTTGGGTTTCTTGTAGGCAACATATAGCTGGGTCTTGTTTTTTAATTCACTCTGACAGTCTTTTATTTTATTATTTATTTATTTATTTTGAGATGGAGTCTCACTCCGTCACTCAGGCTGGAGTGGAGTGGCATGATCTCAGCTCACTGCAACCTCTGCCTCCTGGGTTCAAGTGATTCTCCTGCCTCAGCCTCCCAAATAGCTGGGATTACAGGCGTAGGCCACCGTGCCCAGTTAATTTTTGTATTTTTAGTAAAGATGGGGTCTCACTATGTTCGCCAGGCTGGTCTCAAACTTCTGACCTCACATGATCTGCCCAACTCGGCCTCCCAAAGTGCTGGGTTTATACATATGAGCCACTGTGCCCAGCCAGTCTTTGCTTTTAACTGGTGTATTTAGACCATTCACATTTAAAGTGATTATTTTTATAGTGGGTTTAATATCTACTGTATTCATAAGTATTTTGTATTGATTGCCTCATTGTCCTTGCTGTTGTTTTTTTTCCACTCTTTTTTCTGCATTATCTGGTTTTAATTGAGCATCTTATATGATTTAATTATCTTCCCTCTCTTAGCTTATCAATTATATTTCTTCTTTAACCTTTTTAATTGGTTGCCCTAGAATTTGCAATATACATTTACAACTAATCTAGTTTTACTTGGAAATAACATTGAACAACTTCGCAGGTAGTGCAAGTATAGTGCACTGTATAATGATGTTTCAGTCAATGATAGACTGCATATACAATGGTGCTTCCATAAGAGATTATAATACTGTTTTTTTGTTTTGTTTTGTTTTGTTTTGGAGCCTCACTCTGTCACCCAGGCCACAGTGCAGTGGTGCAATCTCAGCTCACTGCAACCTCCATCTTCTGGGTTCAAGCAATTATCTTGCCTCAGCCTCCTGAGTAGCTGGGATTACAGGCACCTGTCACCATCATGCCCATCTAACTTTTGTATTTTTAGTAGAGACGGGGTTTCACCATGTTGGCTGGGCTAGTCTTGAACTCCTGACCTCAAGTGACCTGCCTGCCCGGGCCTCTCAAAGTGCTGGGATTACAGGCACGAGCCACTGAACCTGGCTGAGATTATAATACTGTATTTTTACTGTACCTTTCTGATGTTGGCTATGTATTTAGATAAACAAATATTTACCATAGTGTTACAATTTCCTACAGTATTTAGTACAGCAACATGCTGTACAGGATTGTAACCTAGCAACAATAGGCTGTACAATATAGCCTAGGTGTGCAGTAGGCTATACTATCTAGGTTTGTGTAAGTACACTCTGTGATGTTTGCAGAAGGACAAAATCACCTGATGACACATATCTCAGAATACGTCCCTGCCATTAAGTGACACCTGACTGTACTTTATAGCAGAGTACTCCCAGTTCCTCCCTCTTGTCCGTTATATGATTGCTGTCATTAATTTCACTTATCTATAAGCTATAATCACCAAATACATTATTACTATTATTATTTTGAACAAACTGCTATCTGTTAGATCAATTAAGAATAAGAAAAATAAAAGATTTTATTTACCTTCATTCATTCTTTCTCCATCCTTTCTTTATGTAGATTTGAGCTTCTGACCAACATTGTTTTCCTTCTCTCTGAAAAACTTCTTTTAATATTTCTTGCAAGGCAGTTCTATTGGAGACAGATTTCCTCAGTATTTTTCTGGGAGTGTCTTTATTTCTCCTTCACTTCTGAAAGATAATTTCACTGGGTACAATACTCTAGATTGATTATTTTTCTTCCAACACTTTAAATATCTCACTCCACTTTATTCTTGCTTGCATTCGTTTCAAAAAGAAGCCCATTATACTTTTTAATCCTAGTTCCTCTGTAGGTACGGTGTTTTTTTCTTTCGTCTGGCTTCTTTCTTTTTTTTTTTTTTTAATTATTATTATACTTTAAGTTTTAGGGTACATGTGCACAATGTGCAGGTTAGTTACACATGTATATATGTGCCATGCTGGTGTGCTGCATCCATTAACTCGTCATTTAGCATTAGTTATATCTCCTAATGCTATCCCTCCCCCCTCCCCCCACCCCACAACAGTCCCCAGAGTGTGATGTTCCCCTTCCTGTGTCCATGTGTTCTCATTGTTCAATTCCCATCTATGAGTGAGAACACGCGGTGTTTGGTTTTTTGTCCTTGCAATAGTTTGCTGAGAATGATGATTTCCAATTTCATCCATGTCCCTACAAAGGACATGGACTCATCCTTTTTTATGGCTGCATAGTATTCCATGGTGTATATGTGCCACATTTTCTTAATCCAGTCTATCATTGTTGGACATTTGGGTTGGTTCCAAGTCTTTGCTATTGTGAATAGTGCCACAATAAACATACGTGTGCATGTGTCTTTATAGCAGCATGATTTATAGTCCTTTGGGTATATACCCAGTAATGGGATGGCTGGGTCAAATGGTATTTCTAGTTCTAGATCCTTGCAGAATCGCCACACTGTCTTCCACAATGGTTGAACTAGCTTACAGTCCCACCAACAGTGTAAAAGTGTTCCTATTTCTCCACATCCTCTCCAGCACCTGTTTTTTCCTGACTTTTTAATGATCACCATTCTAACTGGTGTGAGATGGTATCTCACTGTGGTTTTGATTTGCATTTCTCTGATGGCCAGTGATGGTGAGCATTTTTTCATGTGTTTTTTGGCTGCATAAATGTCTTCTTTTGAGAAGTGTCTGTTCATGTCCTTCACCCACTTTTTGATGGGGTTGTTTGTTTTTTTCTCGTAAATTTGTTTGAGTTCATCGTAGATTCTGGATATTAGCCTTTTGTCAGATGAGTAGGTTGCGAAAATTTTCTCCCATTTTGTAGGTTGCCTGTTCACTCTCATGGTAGTTTCTTTTGCTGTGCAGAAGCTCTTTAGTTTAATTAGATCTCATTTGTCAATTTTGGCTTTTGTTGCCATTGCTTATGGTGTTTTAGACATGAAGTCCTTGCCCATGCCTATGTCCTGAATGGTAATGCCTAGGTTTTCTTCTAGGGTTTTTATGGTTTTAGGTCTAACATTTAAGTCTTTAATCCATCTTGAATTAATTTTTGTGTAAGGTGTAAGGAAGGGATCCAGTTTCAGCTTTCTACATATGGCTAGCTAGTTTTCCCAGCACCATTTATTAAATAGGGAATCCTTTCCCCATTGCTTGTTTTTCTCAGGTTTGTCAAAGATCAGATAGTTGTAGATAAGTGGCATTATTTCTGAGGGCTCTGTTCTGTTCCATTGATCTATATCTCTGTTTTGGTACCAGTACCATGCTGTTTTGGTTACTGTAGCCTTGTAGTATAGTTTGAAGTCAGGTAGCGTGATGCCTCCAGCTTTGTTCTTTTGGCTTAGGATTGACTTGGCGATGCGGGCTCTTTTTGGTTCCATATGAACTTTGAAGTAGTTTTTTCCAATTCTGTGAAGAAAGTCATTGGTAGCTTGATGGGGATGGCATTGAATCTATAAATTACCTTGGGCAGTATGGCCATTTTCATGATATTGATTCTTCCTACCCATGAGCATGGAATGTTCTTCCATTTGTTTGTATCCTCTTTTATTTCATTGAGCAGTGGTTTGTAGTTCTCCTTGAAGAGGTCCTTCACGTCCCTTGTAAGTTGGATTCCTAGGTATTTTATTCTCTTTGAAGCAATCGTGAATGGGAGTTCACTCATGATTTGGCTCTCTGTTTGTCTGCTATTGGTGTATAAGAATGCTTGTGATTTTTGTACATTGATTTTGTATCCTGAGACTTTGCTGAAGTTGCTTATCAGCTTAAGGAGATTTTGGGCTGAGACAGTGGGGGTTTCTAGATATACAATCATGTCATCTGCAAACAGGGACAATTTGACTTCCTCTTCTCCTAATTGAATACCCTTTATTTCCTTCTCCTGCCTGATTGCCCTGGCCAGAACTTCCAACACTATGTTGAATAGGAGTGGTGAGAGAGGGCATCCCTGTCTTGTGCCAGTTTTCAAAGAGAATGCTTCCAGTTTTTGCCCATTCAGTATGATATTGGCTGTGGGTTTGTCATAGATAGCTCTTATTATTTTGAGATATGTCCCATCAATACCTAATTTATTGAGAGTTTTTAGCATGAAGCGTTGTTGAATTTTGTCAAAGGCCTTTTCTGCATCTATTGAGATAATCTTCTGGCTTCTTTCAAGATTTTCTTTTTGTCTTTGATTTTTTTTTTTTTTTTTGAGACAGAGTCTTGCTCTATTGCCCAGGCTGGAGTGCAGTGGTGCGATCTCAGCTCACTACAACCTCCACCTCCTGGGTACAAATGATTCTTGTGCCTCAGCCTCCTGAGTAGCTGGGATTACAGGCACCCACCACCATGCCCAGCTAACTTTTTTTTTGTATTGTTAGTAGAGACGGGGTTTCACCATGTTGGCTAGACTGGTTTCGAACTCCTGACCTCAGGTGATCTGCCTGCCTTGGCCTCCCAGAGTGTTGGGATTACAGGCATAAGCCACCACGCCTGGCCTGTCTTTGATTTTCTAGATGTACATTTCTTTGGTATTTATCATGCTTGGTGTATTTATCCTCCTCTGAGCTTCCTGGTTTTGTGGTTTGGTATCTGTCATTAATTTTGGAAAATTTTCATCCATTATTACTTCAAATATTTTTTTCTGTCTCTTTCTCTTTTTTTCTGTGTGGTATTCCCATTACATGTTTGTTGCATACATGAGTTTCATTTTTTATTTTTGTTTTTAACTTTATGTGTACATATTTAATTAAAATAGAATAGGCATAAATCAAAAACAAGAAAATAATCAGGATAAAGTGTCCTGTCATTTAGTTTGCAAGGAGGAATCAGGAAGTGCAACAAATTACTAGAAAAATATTCTAAAACCATCTGAAGTGGCTAGGTTACATAATCTTCAGAGTCAAATGCCAAAGTTAAGTATTATACCACTTAATCCACAAATGAAAAAAAAGAGGAGTCAAAAGTTTATCTTGTTCAGGCTGGGCGTGGTGGCTCATGCCTATAATCCCAGCACTTTGGGAGGCCAAGGTGGGCGGATCACTTGAGGTCAGCCTGGTCAACATGGTGAAACCCTGTCTCCACAAAAAATAAAAAGATTAGCTGGGCATGGTGGTGCATGTCTGCAGTCCCAGCTACTCAAGAGGCTGAGGCAGGAGAATTGCTCAAGCCCAAGAGGCAGAGGTTGCATTGAGCAGAGATTGTGCCGCTGCACTCCAGCCTGGGCAGTGGAATAAGTGAGACTCTGTCTCAAAAAAAAAAAAAAAAAAAGTGTCCTGTTTACTAGAACAATTTTTACATTCAATCTATAGTGCTACTGGCAACTTTCAGAAGAAAGAAGTTTCCATTATGCATTGACTAGAAAATCTCAAATACAACTAAGCAGCTATGCTATGCTATAGCTCGTTAAGTATCATTAAACTGCTCTGGGCTAGTGTACATTTCAGATTAATAGAGAACCACATTTTGCGTTTTAGAAAGGCAGCAGTAATTCTATTTCAGCTTTTAGTCTGGATGCTTAACACAGTTAAGGCGACAGTTCAAGCACATTAAGTGAAGGTAGTTAAGATTTCAGAACAATCATCACCATCTCTTACAACCTACATACACTGTTTAATGCTTACGTGGAAGGAAACCAGTGGTTTTTTTTTTTTTTTTTTTTTTTTTTGAGACAAAGTCTCACTCTGTTGCTTAGGCTGGCATACAGTGGTTTGATCTTGGCTCACTGCAACCTCCACCTCCCGAGTTCAAGCAATTCTGCTGCCTCAGCCTCCCGAGTAGCTGGGATTACAGGCATGTGCCACCATGCCTGGCTAAGTTTTATATTTTTAGTAGAGACAGGTTTTCACCATGTTGGCCAGGCTGGTCTCGAACTCCTGATCTCAAGTGATCCTCCCACCTCAGCATCCCAAAGTGCTGGGATTACAAGTGTGAGCCACAGCACCCAGCCGAAACCAGTGTACTTTTTTTTTTTCTTTTTTTTTTTTTTTTTTTTTTTTGAGACAGAGTCTCACTCTGTCGCCCAGGCTGGAGTGCAGTGGCGCAATCTCGGCTCACTGCAAGCTCCGCCTCCTGGGTTCATGCCATTCTCCTGCCTCAGCCTCCCGAGTAGCTGGGACTACAGGCGCCCACCACCACACCCAGCTAATTTTTTTGTATTTTTAGTAGAGACAGGGTTTCACCATCTCTACTAGCCAGGATGGTCTCGATCTCCTGACCTCGTGATCTGCCCACTTCAACCTTCCAAAGTGCTGGGATTACAGGCGTGAGCCACCGTGCCTGGCCCGAAACCAGTGTTCTTAATTGGCATTTTATACACACATACACAGAATTAAAAAAAAAAAAAACTATCAAGGGCAATCATTCTAAGTGTACTGTGGTAGAATGTGTTAAAAATGCAAACATCCCATAGAACTAAAGTAACATGAACAGCACTTCTCATGGCCTAGGAGAAAGGTGACTGGTTCTCACACAAAGCTAAGCCTGTATCAGTCATTCTAATCACAATGGCTTATGAAAGTATCAGGTTTCCGGAAAAGCAACTATTCCAGGAAAGTCAGTAAATCTCTTGAAAGTTTCACCTCTATAAAACCAGGATAAGGCTACAGCTCTCTTGAAATCTGAACAGGTTATCAGATGAAACAGTAAGATTCCCAGCCATAATGTGAGATGGAAAGATCCTCATGCAGCGTATGCTCAATTGCTGGCCCCAGAAAGCCTCACGTGCAGAATACAGAAGTTGCCAAAGAAGGAAACGGAGACGTTCAGCTACATTTCCGTCGTGTGATGAATTTTAAACCCTCAGGAATGGTGTGGTCTATTAGGCTTTTCATCATGCTTGGTGTCATCCACTTAATCTGTTCAAAGATAAAAGAAGACATGATTGTAATAGTAACTCGAGTCCCAGATGTTGACAGTATGTCTGCAATTTGAGAGTCCTTCAGTCCAGTGACCTTCTGTCTGTTGATTTCACAGATGTTGTGTTCTGTGAGAAGACCATTTCTGGCTACAGAACTGTCTTTCACTATGGATGTTATCTTTTCTTTCTTTCTTTCTTTCGGAGATGGAGTCTTACTCTGTTGGCCAGGCTGGAGTGGAGTGGTGCAATCTCGGCTCACTTCATCCCCTGCCTCCTGGATTCAAACAATTTTCCTGCCTCAGCCTCCTGAGTAGCTGGGATTATAGGTGTGCACCACCATGCCTGGCTAATTTTTGTAGTTTTAGTAGAGATGGGGTTTCACCACATTGGCCAGGCTGGTCTCAAACTCCTGACATAAGGTGATCTGCCTGCCTTGGCCTCCCAAAGTGCTGGGATTACAGGCGTGAGCCACGACGTCCGGTCTATTTTTCCATTTTAAATGATAAAACCAACATGTCCAGTGCTATCCTTATGCATGGTAATTGTCCATTCAAAGGGCCTGTCATGAATGGACGTAGAAATCTTCTCTTGAAAAGCCTGTTTGAGCACCTTGTGCACTTTATCTGAGCTCCAGCCTGCACAGTTTTCACCATTGATTTGGAGTACTTGGTTCCCAAATCTCAGACCAACCAATAAGGTTGGAGAGTTATCCTTGACTTGCTGAACACATATACCATTATCTATTGATTTAAGCCAGAGTTCAATTTTTCCATCTTGGTCCTTATGGCTTCACGAATTTTCCATCTTGATCCAATGGCTTCATGAATCCCTTGCTTAATTTCTGCTCTACAAATTCCAACATCATTACCAGTTATAGGAGCCATTGTATAGTTCGTACTGGAAGGTCTTGCTACCAACTGGCCCTGAATTGGCGCACCAGAAACCATGGTCATATTTGCATGTGTTTCTTCTTTATTTAAACTCAGGCCTATGTGTTGAGAGAGCTCTGGATATAGTTTGGAATAGAGGTTTCCATCTTGAGAGATGTGAACAGAAGCTTCTGACAAAATTGCTGGGTTGGCAGGGTTTGCAGCAAAAGCAGTGTATTAATCTGTTCTCACACTGTTAATAAAGACATACCTGAGACTTGGTAATTTATAAAGGAAAGAGATTTAATTGACTCACAGTTCCACATGGCTGGAGAGGCCTCACAGTCATGGTGGAAGGCAAAGGAGGAGCAAAGTCATGTCTTATATGGCAGCAGGCAAGAGAGCGTGTGCAGGGAAACTCTCCTTTATAAATCCATCAGATCTCGTGAGACTTATTCGCTATCACAAGAACAGCATGGGAAAGACCCGCCCTCATGATTCAATTACCTCCCACCGGGTCCCTCCCATGACACATGGGAATTACGGGAGCTACAATTTGAGATATGGGTGGGGACATAGCCAAACCATATCAAGCAGTTTGAGCCTGAATTATTTAGTCTACCTTCAAATCTTTGAGAGATGGAGAGAGATATTTTTGCAGGATTCTTCTAGACCACAAGGACCCACTTGCCATCACTGCCTCCAGTCATTCTGCATAAGTAAGTTTTAGATTTCAAGCCTCTCCTTTTGATTCTTTCTTAGAGTTTCCATCTCTCTGCCTCCATTTCCCATCTGCTCTTGGATGTTGTCCAACTTTTCCATTAGAGCCTTTAGCATATTAATCAGTTATTTTACATTTCTGGTCTGATAATCCCCACATCTCTGCCATACCTAGGTTTGTGTATGATGTTTGATTTGTTTCTTCAGAAGGTGTTTTTTTTTTGTTTTTTTTTTTTATCATGCCTTGTAATTTTCTGTTGAAAGTCAGATATGATGTATTGGGTAAAAGGAAATGACATAGATTGATCTCTAGTGTGTTTATCTGGCTAGGAGTGAGGCTGTGTTCACTGTTTGCTGTAGCTGTAGTGTCACAGATTAAAATTTTCTTGAACACTTTTGTTTTTGTCTCCTGTGATGTCTTGGGTTTTCCTAGAGACTCCTTGAATAGGGTCTTAGGCTTGTAGATTTTATTTTATTTTATTTTTTTGAGAAGGAGTCTCACTCTTGTTGCCCAGGCTGGAGTGCAATGGTGCAATCTTGGTTCACTGCAACCTCTGCCTCCAGGGTTCAAGCCATTCTCCTGCCTCAGCCTCCCAAGTAGCTGGGATTACAGGCGCCCACCTCCACGCCTGGCTAATTTTTTTGGTATTTTTAGTAGAGATGGGTTTTCACAATGTTGGCCAGGCTGGTCTTGAACTCCTGACCTCAGGTGATCCACCCCACCTTGACCTCCCAAAGTGCTGGGATTACAGCCGTGAACCACCGCACCCAGCCAATTTTTTTTTTTTTTAAGCTGAAATCCCGTTATTATACAGGCGCCATCTTGATGTGGTGGTGAGGTGTGGGGGTTAGGGAAGCATTCTTTACTTTTCTGATCAAGTCTTAGTCTTTTAGTGAGCCTGAGTTGGGTGTTTCTCTTCCCCCAGGCCAGCTGGGCCTTGGTAAAACCCCAGTAGGTTAGACTCTGGCAAAGTAGTTTCCCTTGAGGGCAGAACTTGTTAAAGAGAACAGAGAGCTCTGGGTGTATTTCAGAACAGTTACTTTCCCCCTCCTCTGCTGGAAGTTAGAGGGTACTTTTCTCTGATCTTCACAATGGAGACCTGGTGGAATTCCCCAAGGCAAAACTCACACAAGCGTGGGCACCTCCCTAAGACTGGGTCCCTTTAGAGCTTTCAATTCTCAAGCTAGTTTACACTGAGCCTCCAGCAACTAGTTGATGACAGTTTCACACACTACAACAGATATTGGCTCCAGCTGTGAGTTTCTGCTCCCAGGAAGCTGTCATTCTTTGTATTTTTCTGTCTCTCCAGTTTTGGGGACAGAGATTGGCTCTGTGACCTCAATTCTCTGATGGATCAAAAAGTTGATGATCTTTAGTTTGTTCAGCTTTTTTTCTTGTTGCAAGAATGGGAGAGATGACTTCCAAGTTCTTTACTGGAAGTTGGCATTTTCTTTTTTTTCTTTTCTTTTCTTTTTTTTTTTAAGTAAATGTAAGTTTGTAGACTGAGATGTGTACCCACTATAGACTGATCTCTACAAATATTGTTGGAAACTTCTCAGTAGCCATTCAATTCAAAAAAAGGACTCTCAGACCTAGTTTAGAGGAATGTTACCGGAAAGGGGTCCCAATCCAGACACCAAGAGAGGGTTCTTGGATCTCACTCAAGAAAGAATTTGAGGCAAATCCATAGAATAAAGTGAAAGCAAGTTTATTAAGAAAGTGAAGTAATAAAAGAGTGGCTACTCCATAGGCAGAGCAGCGGTGTGGGCTGCTCAGTTGCTTACACTTATTGTGACTTCTGGATTATATGCTAAACAAGGGGTGGATTATTCATGAGTTTTCTAGGAAAGAGGTGGGCAATTCTCGGAACAGAGGGTTCCTCCCCTTTTTAGACCATATAGGGTAACTTCCTGATGTCATGACATTTGTAAACTGTCGTGGTGCTGGTGGGAGTGTCTCTTAGCATGCTAATGCATTATAATTAGCATGTAATGAGCAGTGAGGATGACCAGAGGTCACTTTCTTCGCCATCTTGGTTTTGGTGGGCTTTGGCTGGCTTCTTTACTGCATCCTGTTTTATCAGCAAGGTCTTCATGACCTGTATCTTGTGCCGACTTCCTATGACCTAGAATGCCTAACTTCCTGGGAATGCAGCCCAGTAGGTTTCAGCCTCATTTTACCCAGCCCCTATTCAAGATGGAATTGTTCTGGTTTGAACATCTCTGACAGGAACCCAAGGTAAAGGGATAATTAAAGCTTGGACCTCACCTGTGTATGACCAACCATGCTGTAGGGAAAACAGCAGCACAATCTTGAGGTAGAATCTGGGTCTCCTAACACCAACCAGGCTTGCCTGGGCGTAACCAGGAAGTGGAATATTTTAGTGCCTGTGACATTCCTTTGTGTCCCAGTGGAGCATAAACAGATTCAGTGTTTGGCTAAGTGCTGGAAGAGCAGCCCAGGGTCCCCCGGCCCCTGCTATGCATCTGCCTTGATTGATGTGCACAGTGGAAGTGGCTTTCATCGGAGAAGCAATTGTGTGTAGGTTCCTGGGAGAAAAGGGAACATGCCACTTGTTCCCTGGTTAGGACACAGGGATGATGCTTGAACCCTAGGGAGAGAGTAGGCAAAAGATAAAAAGGCCACATCCGTGAGCACTTTGTGTGGCCCAAGAGCAGGAGCAGGGCTGCTTCAGAGCCCAGGTAACAAAGTGCAGATGAGAATCAGGAGAGAGGTGCCAGTGAGGTGTCCTTCTTTTTTTTTTTGTAGGCATCCTGTGGTCGTGGCACAGGTAGGGACAGGTAAGGAAGCACCGTTGGAGGGAAGCAAGACGTTTACTGCTGTAGGAGCAAGATGTCCCCATGAGGGGTACGTGGAGGACGTTTCTGAGCTCCTGTGGGAACTGTCTCAGGAATGTTTGCATTTGAGCTGGAAGCTTCTTGTCATGGATGAATTACAGCTCCTTGATGATGACCCTGTGGAGGGTGTGTCAAGTGATCGAGGATACTTTTGAGTAGGCTGACCTTTCCTTCTCTCCATATCCCAGAAGGGTCCTCTTTCCTATCTGTGGGTATTTCTACCTCTGCTCCACACATCTCTAGTCTTGTATAACACCTTGGCTTACAGGTGTTCCTAAAGACCCGTCTCTCTTCTGCTGATGACTTCCTGGGGGTATCAGTCTGTTCATCTGTCAAGAATGTGGATGAACAAACATATACATTACACTTCCAGACTGAAGAGGCTCTTAATAATTGGGCTGGAACCATAAGTCACTATGTTCTATTTAGGTATGGAACTTACCAGAACAGAAAGAAGGGGGGAGGAAGGAGACTTCTTGGCTAGCAGTCTGTTTATCTTATAAATCAGTCTGATCTCTTGAGCAAAAGTTAAAGGGAAAAAGTGGAGGAGACACTGTGACCTGGCCTAGGAAGTCTAGGTTTAAGCCAAGCCAAACACACTTCTCCTCTGTCTCAGCTCTGTGAGCTGTGAGTTCTGCTTCTCCTAGGGTAACCTCGGATTACCCTAGGTTACCTTGGCCAATGCCCGTGGAAACTGGCTCAAGAAAGGGAAGTAGGAGAATGGCAGAGTCCAGAGTCCACTTATTCTATGGTTCAGGGCACTTTTTTTTTTTTTTTCTTTTTTTGAGACAAGGTCTTGCTCTTTGCCCAGGAATTCAGTGGTGTGATCATAGCTCATTACAGCCTTCTACTCCTGGGGTCAAGAGATCCTCTCATCTCAGCCTCCCTAGTAGCGAGGACTATAGGCACACTTCCTGGATAATTTTTAAATATTTTTCAGAGATGGGGTCTTGCTATGTTGCCCTGGCTAGTGTTGAACTTCTGGCCTCAAGCAATCCTCCTGCCTCGGCCTCCCAAAATGTTGGGATTACAGGTGTGAGCCACTGCACTTGGCCTTGTTCAGTGCATTTTCAGGGCATCCTGAAAGGCCAGGCCTGGATCTTGGGCAGCTGTTCAGGAGCATTCCAGCTGTGAATGGTCCTGAATGTCTTCCTGGCCTTCCAGATGGATCTCTAACGCACCCCAACGCAGGTGCTCCCTGAAGACATACCGGATCTGTTGGTGCGGAAAAAGAATGCAGCATTTGGTGGCTTATAGTGCTGTGCCAACTATTGCTTAGGTAATTTATATGACATCTTATTTTCTCCACCTGATTCTAAGCTCCTTGAGGACACGTCTGGTTCATCTCTGTTGGCTGCATAGCCTAAAACCCATGCTGGTGCATCCTGATTTCATTTCCTTCTCGGATGTAATGAAAGCACTCAAATGATATTGATTGCCTCCTCTTTAGGTTGACAAATAAAACCTTTAAATTCTGTTTTTCCTGGTGTTTCCTTTGTAGGATTGGAAACGATGGTCTTGATAGCGCTGTGGTTAGCAAAGCATTAATGGCTCACTCTCCTAGGGGAGACACGTCAGTTGATACCATGCACTCTGCATGCAATTTTCAGAAATGGTGTTTGCTTTTTTCAACGTTGGTTGTGTTGCTGCTCTAGACGAACCAGCTTCTATTCCTGTCTTTACTCAGAGGTAGGTAGGATTCTTCCCCAGGCACCTACAGACCTGACTAGGATTTACAGGCAGGGGTGAGTCAGCTGACCCAGGAGGGTGGCATCCCATAGTTAGGACAGAGAGAGACTCACTGGCACGTGCTGGGTCCCTGCGTTGTCCTAACGTGCCTCCTTGCAGGTAGCATGGCTGAGTCAGTGTGCCGTGAGTCACAGGCTGCGGGAGGTGAACTTGAGCCTCACTCCGGCATTGATCTTTCGCAGGGATATATTGTTAGTTCCCGTCTGTTAAGACCGATAAAGGGTAATAATTTACTGGCCTCAAGTTTGTCTTCTCTTTGATTTCACCAAATCTTCTCCTTATACAGGAATTGCTTGACCTTGACTTTTCAGGAATTTACCCAATTTTATACTCTTGGCGTCTCCTGGGCTTAGAACCCCTTACCTCCAACCTTGCTCCCTGGCTAACTTCTACCCTTCCTTCAAAGCTCAGCAGAGATGGCACCCCCTTTCTGAAACAGTCCCCAGTTCCTGGGAAGAGTGAAGGCCTGAAGCTGTGTTGAGGGTGGCACTTAGCCCCTGGTTTGGAGCTCCATGTTTCCTTCACTGTCTGCTGAACATTTTAAGGCGTCGATTTGGACTTTCCTAGGCTTGCATTCCCAGAGCCTAGTGCAGTGCCTGTTCAGAAGACTTTTTTTTTTTTTTTTTTTTTTTTTTTTAGTGAAGAGGGAGGAATGTTAAGCCTCACCAAGTCTGATTATGCTAAGATCACTTAAATTTTTTCTGCCTTTTCAGAATACCCATTGTAGTTAGGGTTAGTACCCATGGTTTGGCACTTACTGGTTCTGTGGTTGTTGGGTGCCTTGTTTGTCTCTTCGGGCGAGATGCGAGTCACTCCAGGGCAGCATCTGTTCCTCATATTCCTCTCACATTCTTTAAAGCCTCCCTGTGTGCACTCAAGCCACACAATGAACCTTCCTGCCTTTGCCCACAAGGCTGAGAACTCTTCAAAGTGAGACTGTGTCTTACGCATTTTCACTTCCTCCATCATTTGACACAGGACCTGGCACGTAACAGATGTTTAATAAATACTTGTATTTATTGAATAGGAATAGGTAGTAGATTCTAGAGACATAGTGAGCTCAGCTCAAGTTCAGTTGCATCAGGGAAGGCTCCCCCATGCCCCCGGCAGCTCCCTCTCTCTGTGCCTATGCAACCTTTAGCAGCATGAGCTGCCTTGAAAAGTCAAAGCCAGCTTTTCCAGAAAGCAACTCAGCAACTCTCTCCTGGGGCCAGAACTGCTCCGAAACGGGAACAGCTGTGTATATTCTTTGATCGTTAGCAGGAAACGATGTGTCGTGTCTCAAAGCACCTTTTCATGCTGCTTTCTTATTAACTCCACCCAGAAGCCCTTGCCTTAGCAAAGCCAGTCTCGCGAGGCACCGTGGAAGTCCAGAGTTGAGTGCAGCTGGGTTTGATTCATTCCTGGGCTTGATTTCTGGAATCCTCCTAGATTCCTTCCTGGGTTTGAGTTCTGGAAGCCTTGGTTTCTTGAGGCGATTATGCTGTAGGTACTAGAGAGAAGCTACTGCCTTTGAGAGAAGGGTAATTACGCAGGATTTGAAAGGAGACAGGAAGCTGTGGGTGCCAGAAATAGAGGAATCTTGTTCTTTTATTTTTGGCAACATCCAGCAAGGTGGGAGGACACCTGAGGGGAGTGCCTTTCTGGTGCACCATGGAGGCTGGTCCGTAACAGTGGAAGCTGCCATCTTGCAGAAGATTCCTCTGCCCAAGCTTGGCATGGCCAGACTTCGTGGGCCATGTGAACATGAGATGATATCTTGCTCTGTGTGCCTTCCTATAATTTGGGGGGAGATGTTGACTAGGAGGAGGCATCCACCATTGGGCTTTTCATTATCTCAATGGAATGGTGACTTGGAATTGACTTTGACTCAAGGAAATAAAGTAAGATGAGGATTTACACATACCTAGATTAGGAAACTAACCTTTATACCTAGTACATATGTACACCTGTAAGGCATCTGGTACAGTCCCTGGGTGCTTCAGGGACTTCATAAAGGTGCATTTCCTTCACCCTTACTTATAAATAATGGTCGATGCATATTCTTAGATCATTTGAGATACATCCTTAAAAACTGTTGAGCATTGATCAAAATTTGTTTTGGAAATAAACTTGTTTTTAGTGCCCCAGAGAAGCACATTGTTTCCTAAAGTGAAGAATCCTCATTGAAGATGAATTGTGCTAATCTGGATTTTCAGGTTTTTTACTTACTGCAATAACAGATAGATTGAGGAAAGTACCCTTTTATTTTCTCTGGAAAGCACTGATGGATGTAACTGATGACAACTTGACCCAGTAGGGCAGTTCGTCTGCCCTCAAGAGCAGCTCAGCTCAAAGGGCGGTGTGGGGATCGCCAAGTGTGATGGAGGCAAGTCCCAGGTGAAAGGGAGCTCTAATTCATCAGGATTCCTCTATCTTTATAAGAGAAGCTAATTTCAAATCACTTCCTTCGTTATGACTAAATTTCAGGAAATGAGGATCACATTATTCCAGTGCAGAGAACTGGGCTGAGAGTCACATGCTTTATTATCTGCTCTGATTAATGACTAACCAACCTCGTAAGTTCCCCACCACACAGGTTAGTGACTGGATGATCATTTTGCTTTATCCACTTCCTAACAGGAGGAAACAGAGAAGTGAGCTAACTTTGTTATTTATACGAAGGTAACATACTTGCGATTTTTCTTTTCTTTTCTTTTTCTTTTTTTTTTTTGAAACAGAGTCTTGCTCTGTCACCCAGGCTGGAGTGCAGTGGCATGATTTTGGCTCACTGCAACTTCTGTCTCCCAGGTTCAAGCGATTCTCCTGCCTCAGCCTCTTGAATAGCTGGGATTACAGGTATGCGCCACCACATCCAGCTAATTTTTGTATTTATAGTTGAGGTGGGGTTTTACCATGTTGGTCAGGCTGGTCTCGAACTCCTGACCTCAGGCGATCCACCTGCCTCGGCCTCCCAAAGTGCTGGGATTACAGATATAAGCCACTGCCACCGTGCCTGGCCAGTTTTTTTTTTTTTTTTTTTTTTTTTTTTTTTTTTTTTGAGACGGAGTCTTGTTCTGTTGCCCAGGCTGGAGTGCAGTGGTGCAACCTTGGCTCACTGCAACCTCCACTTCCTGGGTTCAAGCAATTCTCCTGCCTCAGCCTCCCAAGTAGCTGGGATTACAGGTGCCTGCCACCACACCCAGCTAATTTTTGTATTTTAGTAGAGACGGGGTTTCACCATGTTGGCCAGGCTGGTCTCGAACTCTTGACCTCAGGCAATCCACCTGCCTCGGCCTCCCAAAGTGCTGGGATACAGGCATGAGCCACCGTGCCCGGCCCATACTTGTGGTTTTTCTATACCTATCTTCCTTTCTGGTGGGAGCCCAAAATAAAAATATGTGTGTGTATACACACACACACACACACACACACACACACATATACACATACACATATATATATATATTTGTGTGTGTGTGTGTTTTATGTGATCTTTCTTGGCTTTTGCATTGAGAAAGTCATCTTTGAAATTTAGAAAAACTGTCAGACTGTTGGAAGGCACCTTGGACATGGCGTCTCCCCAGTGCCTTCTTTATGCATAGAAAGGGCGCTCGAGGTAACGGGATGTCATGACTCTTGTGAGATAACACAGGAGCGGAGCAGAGATGAGAACTCAGGCCTCCTGTCATCTGTCCAGGGCATGTGGGTAAGATCAAGCGTAGGACTGGCTTTATAAAGCACAAATATTTGTTTGTCAGCAACTGTTTGTTTATTACTTCATTTTTGTTTTTCTCTTCTAAAATTCACCCTAAACTCTTTTATGATTTATGGACTGCTCTAAGCTTACAAGACTGATAAATATGTATATGCTGTGTGAGGAATACATTGATTTATTTACAAAGGTAGCAGAATCCTAATGCAAGAACAAACAAGAAAAAGAAAAAGAAAGAAAGATGTAGACTGGTTTTATTCATAAATAGAGAAGTGAAAATTCTAATAAAAATATGAGCACATGGTGCAATGTAGCAACATCCTACCATGACAAAATAAGGTTTATTCAGAGTGCAACGATGGTTTCATATTACAATTTTTATTAGTTTAAGTATTACATAAGTGGGTCCAGTTTAAAAAAAAATGACAATCAATGCTGAAATAGCCTTTATTTACTCTTGATGAAAATACAAAAATCAATGCCGGGCACGGTGGCTCACGCCTGTAATCCCAGCACTTTGGGAGGCCGAGGCGGGTGGATTACGAGGTCAGGAGTTCGAGACCACCCTGGCCAACATAGTGAAACCCCATCTCTACAAAAAATACAAAAATTAGCCGGGCGTGGTGGCAGGCGCTACTCGGGAGGCTGCGGCAGGAGAATCACTTGAATCCCAGAGGCAGAGCTTGCAGTGAGCCGAGATTGCGCCACTGCACTCCAGCCTGGGCAGCAGAGTGAGAGTCCATCTAAAAAAAAAAAAAAAAAGAAAATGGAAAAATGAAGAAAATGAAAAATAAGTGTTGATAGTGAGTTCCAGCCAATAGAACAGAACAGGAGTGAAGTGTCCCATCTCTTAGCTGAAGCTTCTACGACATGGATGCACCCCACAGTCTCACCTGTGGCTGGCTGGACCCAAATGAAAATGAGAGTGCAGGGGACGGCAGAGACACAAGATGAAAGGATCCTGGGTCCCTGAGTCACCATGTGGAGAAGCCATCAACACAGAGTGCTGCTTTGATCTGTTTTCTAATCAGAGTTTTAGTGCCCCAGAGACGCACCTTGTTTCTTAAAGTGAAGAATCCTTGTTAAAGACCAATTGTGCTAATCTGGATTTTCAGATTGTTTACTTACTGCAGTAACAGATAGATTTAAATATTTAGATAGAAAGCTCCCTTTTATTTTCTCTGGAAAGCACTAATGGATGTAACTGATGACAACTTGACCCAGCAGGGCAGTTAGTCTGCCCTTTAGGGAGCAGATCTAAACCTGTGTAACCTGAGACATGGTGGATTTGGGGTCATGAGTCCCCACAGCTCAGCACACCCTAAGAATCCATCTATCTTTCTGTACAGCATCACGTATCCCTTCTGCAGGCCTATATGCCAGTCCAGCCATCCTCTGCGGGCTACTACTACCGTTAGACATTAAATGTATCTAGTATGTTCTTTTTATCTCTTAGCCATCACGCCTGGCTAATTTTTTGTAGTTTTAGAAGAGACAGAGTTTCACCATGTTGACCAGGCTGATCTCAAACTCCTGATCTCAAGTGATCTGCCCTCCTCGACCTCCCAAAGTGCTGGGATTACAGGCATAAGCCACCGTCTCTTACTATTCTAAATTAAAAATATTAGGAACTTTTTTTTTTTTTTTAGTAGAGATGACATCTCACTATGTTGCCCAGGCTGGCCTTGAACTCCTGAGCTCAAGCTATCCTCCTGCCTCACCCTTGCAAAGTGTTGGGATTACAGTCATGAGCCACTATCTCTTACTATTTTAAATTAAAAATATTAGGAACTTTTTTTTTTTTTTTTAGTAGAGATGACATCTCACTATGTTGCCCAGGCTGGCCTTGAACTCCTGAGCTCAAGCTATCCTCCTGCCTCGGCCTTGCAAAGTGTTGGGATTACAGGCATGAGCCACCATCTCTTACTATTTTAAATTAAAAATATTAGGAATTTTTTTTTTTTTTTTTTTTTTTTTTTAGTAGAGATGACATCTCACTCATCTCACTATGTTGCCCAGGCTGGCCTTGAACTCCTGAGCTCAAACTATCCTCCTGCCTTGGCCTTGCAAAATGTTGGGATTGCAAGCGTGAGCCACCATCTCTTACTATTGTAAATTAAAAATATTAGGAATTTTTTTTTTTTTTTTTAAGTAGAGATGACATCTCACTATGTTGCCCAGGCTGGCCTTGAACTCCTGAGCTCAAGCTATCCTCCTGCCTCGGCCTTGCAAAGTGTTGGGATTACAGGCATAAGCCACCATCTCTTACTATTGTAAATTAAAAATATTAGGAATTTTTTTTTTTTTAGTAGAGATGACATCTCACTATGTTGCCCAGGCTGGCCTTGAACTCCTGAGCTCAAGCTATCCTCCTGCCTTGGCCTTGCAAAGTGTTGGGATTACAGGCGTGAGCCACCACACCCAGCCAATTTGTAGGCATTCCTACATTTATGAAATTTGTTTTCTTTTCAAGCATGCTTAGCCGTTCCTTGCACTCTCTCATTCCTCGTTCTTGCTTTTAAGCTCCTGATTTATTTCCTTAAGCACTGAAGTATTGGCAAGTGGGATTCTGGGGCCTGAGGTTCTGTTTGCTTGCACACAGAGGGCTTTTCTTTCTTTCGTGTTTAAAAATTCTTTTACTGTGAGCTGCTGACTTTCCTGGTTACTTTATCTGTGGGACTTCTTTAAGGCCTGGTTGAAGCACCTTAATCTCTCCAGAGAATATCTGCTTCTGTCAGTTGCCTAGGAGGACTACCATCCCTGAACACTTTAAACGTAAATATCCAAATGGGTCTTTTCAGATCACACAGGTAATGTGAATTCAGACTGGAAATCTGCCTGGAACCTGGTTTGAGGTAACAACTTCTAAGGGCAGGTTTTTTTCCCCTTCTCCCCAGAGTGCTGAGGTCAAGACAAGCAGGTTTTGTTTCCTTTATTTTTTTGTTATTTACATTGGGTTAATTTCTCCTTCCTCTTTTTTATTTTTAGAGACAGGGTCTTGCTATGTTGCCCAGGCTGGAGAGCAGAGGCTCTTCACAGGTGTGATCAGTGCTCATGGCAGCCTCAAACTCCTGGGCTTAAGTGATCCTCCCGCCTGGGCCTCATGAGTGGCTGGCACTCCAGGTGCGCATCACTGCACTTGGCCTTCTCATTCCTCTTATTCTGAGGATTTGCCCTTTGGGCAAAGGGGGTTCCAGTTTTCTATGATGATTCTAGGCTTTGTCTCCTGTCCCTGAACCCTATGCATCTATCAAAGCAGAAACTCAGGATGCAAGCTGGCTTGGATATTGCATTACCTCTCAGAGATGCATTTGAAAATATCTGTGGAATGGTTAAGTGGTATTTTGGGGGCATTTAGTCCTCAGATGGCTGGAAACAGGCTGTGTCTTCAGCCTCTCTCTGGGTTTGTGGGACAGGCCAGAGGCCATCATCACAATGTGGTGGATGGCCGTGGGCTCAGATCAACAAGTAGCTGAAGTCAGGGTTGCTTTTCAAAAATGTAACAGATTTCCCTACATATTAGATATTAAAAAAAGAAATGTATGAAAACCCAGAAAGATGAATTAAGATTTGAGATAGTGGAGGAAGGAGATAACACCTTTACTCCAGACACAGAGCCTCTATTCAACATAATAACTATTCATCACGACTTCCCCCATGGAAGGCCGTGTCCTGGGCCCTGCAAAGGAGAGCAGGTCTCAGGGACCTGCCAAAGATGTAACACACTCATGTCTCTTTCATGAGGCTCTTCCAGTAGGATGTGAGACAACCAAGTTACGGGGTCATAAGTAGTGACAGGACAACTTTCTCAGTTCATCAGTGTAATGTTTAGTTTTACGTATTAACTTCATTGGGCCAATGTGCCCAGATATTTGGTTAAACATTATGCTGAGTGTTTCTTTGAGGGTGCTTTTGGGTGAAATTAACGTTTCAATTAGTAGACTTTGAGTAAAGCAGGCCACCCTCCCTGATGTGGGTGGGCCTTGTCCAATCAGTTGAAGACCTCACTATAATAGAACAAAAGACTGACCTCCCCTGAGCAAGAGGGAATCCTCCAGCAGGCGGCCTCCAGGCTCCATCCACAGCATCAGCTCTTCCTGCTTCTACAGCAATGGCCTCGAACCTGAGCTGCAACATCAGCTATCCTGGGTCTCTAGGCTGAGGCTCACGTTGCAGATTTTGGACTTGCCAGCCCCCAGAATCCCATGAGCCAGTTCATTATAATAAACCACACACACACATGCATGCATGCAGACACACACACATGCATGCGTACTACACACACACACACACACACACACACACACACACACACTCACCCTACTGGTTCTGTTTCTCTGGAGAACGCAATCAGGATGTAGATGGCTACCAGCAGTGGCCCCAAAGAAAGGAACATTTCTATGTACTGAGAATGAATTAGGACTATAGACTGTAGTTTAAAATATCTCCTTCTCTTTTTCCTTCCTTCCTTCCTTCCTTCCTTCCTTCCTTCCTTCCTTCCTTCCTTCCTTCCTTCCTCCTTCTCTCCCTCCCCCACCCTTTCTCCCTTTCCTTCTTTCTTTCTGCCACAATGCCATACTTGCCCCACTGTGGCATGATGGTTGTCTGTATTGTCCCGATTGAGAATCTGAGGCTCCACCGTCTGGTGCCACAGCCTGAGGTGATGAAAATCCTTGCAGATGCATCCAGTGGGAAAGGTATTGAGGAGTGCCGGGGTTTGAATGGGTCACCCAAAGTTCATGTGTTGGAAACTTAGTCCTTAATGCAGCGGTGTTGAGAGATGGGACCTTTAAGATGTGATTAGGTTATGAGGGCTCTGTCTCATGAATGGATTAATGCCATTATGCCAGGAATGGGTTAGTTGTCATGGGAGTGATTTTCTTATTAAATAACAAGTTCTGCCCCCTTCCCCATTCCTTTCTCTCACGCTCTTGCTTTCTGCTATGGGATAACACAGAGAAAACCCTCACCAGATGCTGGCACCTTCATATGGGACTTCATAGCCTCCAGAATTACATTTCCTTTCTTTATGAATTAGCCATTTTTGCGGTATTCTGTTATAGCAGTTTAAAATGGATCAAGACAAGGAGAAAGCATCATTGTTTGATTTGGAAGCCACTGACTTCAAAACAGCCTTTTCAATACACTTCACCCACTTCTCTCTAAAATGCAGGGAAGGCCAGGTGCGGTGGCTCATGCCCATAATCCCAACACTTAGGGAGGCCAAGGCAGGAGGATCACCTGAGGTCAGGAGTTCAAGACCAGCCTGGCCAACATGGCAAAACCCCATCTCTCCCAAAAATACAAAAATTAGCTGGGCATGGTGGTGGTCTGTGCCTATAATCCCAGCTACTTGGGAGGCTGAGGCAGGAGAATAGCTTGAACCTGGGAGACAGAGGTTGCAATGAGCCAAGATCATGCCACTGCACTCCAGCCTGGGTGACAGAGAGAGACTCTGTCTCAAAAAATAAATAAAATAAACAGGGAAGAAAACAGCTTGAATGTACCTCATTATAGTTAAGACCACCAAGTGCATTTAGACTCCTTTAATTTATTCAGATAATAAAAACAGGCGCTAAAGGCATGTTCTCTTTTAAAAAAAACATTTGCTGCCTACAGTTAGGCTTAATTCTAAACTTCCTATTTATTATACTGTGAGTTAATCTGTTACACCCATGACAGCGAGCGTTATTATTAAATCATCACCATGCATCAGCCAGGACCATGTCTTTACCTTCTTGATCAGTGTAAATCTTTCTTGTTTCTGGAATCCCCTGGAAAGTCATTTTATAAACATCATTTTAAAGATGCCGATAGGCCACCCCATAAAGTAGTCTTGCCAAAAAGAAACTAGCAATTTATGAGACACACAAAGAATAGAAGAACAAGTTAAAAGGCACACGGGAATGTGCCAACAAGTCCATGGGACTTTTGGGATGCTCTACAGGACAAACAAACTGATTTCAACAAAACACTGCACAAATAAAAAAAAGAGAGGGCGGGTGGGATGTCCAGTCTCCATACAGGCACTTGAGGCAGATCCCCAATTACAATGTGAGAAACCTAGTTGGATTCTGATTCAAAAAAATTGTAAAAAATGAAAACCTAAATCTACACATTTGTGACATTTATGCGACAAACTAGAAAATTGCATACCAACTGGGTTTTTGATGACGGTAAGGCATTATTGGCCATTTTTGGGGTGTAATAAGAGTATTATAATTTTTTCGCTGGGCGTGGTGGCTGACGCCTATAATCTCAGCACTTTGGGAGGCCGAAGTGTGTGGCATGTGCCTGTAATCCCAGCTACTTGGGAGACTGAGGCAGGAGAATAGCTTGAACCTGGGAGGCAGAGGTCAGGAGTTTGAGACCAGCCTGGGCAACATGGCGAAACCCCGGCTCTACTAAAAATACACAAATTAGCCAGGCATGGTGGTGCATGCCTGTAATCCTAGCTACTTGGGAAGCTGAGGCAGGAGAACCTCTTGAACCCAGGAGGTGGAGGTTGCAGTGAGCTGAGATTGTGCCACTGCCCTCCAGCCCAGGCGACAGAGCAAGACTCCATCCCCGCCCCTCACCCCCGCCGGCCACCAGCCAAAAGAGTATTATAATTTTTTTAAAGAATAACTTTTTAGACATATCGCCATATTTATGGATGAAATCATAGGCTGTCTTGGATTTTTGCTTCAAAATAATCAGGAATGGGGGAGAGGACAGTGTAGAAAGAGCCACGTTTGTCATGAGGTGCTGATTGCAGAGACCGGGTGATGGGTACACCAGCTCATGATACTGTGCTGTTTCCATAAATGTTTCACTTTCCTGAATACAACATTTTTTAAAAATGTGTCAATTCTCACAATCTACTGATGCAGGAAATGAATTACTTTATATGACTCTATTCACTTGAATAGATGTAAGCTAATATATTCTGAACAGCTTGGATTGACGGGCATTAGCTGTTTTCGCATAAATCATGGAATTTCTCCCATGACTCAGGGTAAGGTGCTGGGGCTGCCAGAGGACCTGCCCCAGCAAGATTTTTCTCAAGAGCGAGACTCCATCAGCCCAGGCAGACAGGAGCAGGTTCTTGGCCGGTGTAGACAGCAGCAAACAGCAGAAGGGAAGCCATTCTCACTACATCCTCCCTGCAGTAGCCACAGCCAGGCCCTTAGGAGGAGCAGTGACCGGGGGTGTCCAGAAACATCCTGTCCCTGGATGGAAACTAGGTCTCGTTGGGATTTTTTTTTCTTTTTTTGCCGTGTTAGTTAGGAAATTATTTATTAATTTACAAGGCAGGTTTTATCTCAGCCAAGGTGGGAAATGGTGTCCCTGTCCCTCCCAAAGCACAGAGCACAGAAATGAGGCTGTTTACATCGCGAGTCTCTGCGCTGGTGTTTAAGTCATTAAAAAGATATTCGAAAAAAAAAGTCTCTAAATACAGGTTTATGGAATATTTCATAACAGCTTTAAGGAACTATCATGGTACACTGGGAAAGTCACCCATATTGCAGGATAGATTTCTTCTGTTGGCTGACGAGCATTTGTTTATAGTCGGCCTTGACTCTACTCTACCACAATTTTATATGTAGTTCTTTTATTTTTTTAAAAGCAACATTTTGGGACAAAATATCGTGAACAAATAAGGAATACTACTATATTTGTGAAACGCCTTGTTAATTTCCAAGTGATATTTTAAATCTTGAATAAGACATGTATGCTCGTAAATAAAGAGGGAAAAGAAATAATTAAATCGATGTTCATAAGAGCTTCTCAGAAAATAAGAAAGAGATAAGTGATAGAACTATAATCTACAATCTACCCTAATAGTATATCTGCATCATTTCTTAAACTTTGTTTAGTATTTTAACATGCTGTTTCTTATCATATGTGAAGAATGCTGTGAGGTAGCAGGTCAATGTTTTGCAGATTAATAAACTGAAGTTAAAAGAGAAAAAAAACCCATGGAATTTCATCTTCTTAGAAACAGATGTTGAAATTAAGATTCAAAAAAAGCTAAGTTTTCTGCCTCACTCTTCACTAATGGGAATGAACAGAGACAGAACTGAAGCGCACGCTTTGTGGTTTCACAGCCTCTCCAGTCATATCACGACTGCTTTTCATCCTGCCCTTGACAGAAAAGAGACATTCACAGCCCTTTCTCAGATAGGAAAATGACATTATCAATACAGGAATGTGATTTCCTGTATTGATTTCCAATTTCCCATGCTCCCCTATCTCCCTGCATGGGCCGCCATGGAAAATCACCAAAAGCACTCCTCTGATCCCAGGTAGTTCTGTTCCTGCCACCTGTGGCCTTTTGCTCTCCCTAATTCCTCCTTTTCTGGCAGAACCTCTCAGGTTCCCTACGGAAGACCTACCAGCAAGCCACTACAAATTATAGTCAAGAAATGCTTTGTTGGCTGGGCCCAGTGGCTCTCTGGGCCCAGCACTCTGGGAAGCTGGGGCAGGCGAATCACTTGAGGTCAGGAGCTCGAGACCAGCCTGGCCAACATGGTGAAACCCCGTCTATACTAAAAATACAAAAATTAGCCGAGTGTGGTGGCGGGCGCCTGTAATCCCAGCTATTCGGAAGACTGAGGCAGGAGGATCACTTGAACCCGGGAGGCGGAGGTTGCAGTGAGCCAAGATTGCACCACTGCACGTCAGCGTGGGTGACAGAACTAGACTCCGTCTCAAAAAAAAAGAAAAAAGAAAAAAAGAAAATGCTTTGTAAAGGCAAACCCACAATGGTGTGCAGTAGTAATACCACTGGAGTTGCCTGAAAGTGTCGAAGTCAGGCATTCCCTGAGCTGGGAACACTGCATTCCTCTTCATCTGTCCCTATAAGGTATAAAGGCTGCAATGTCAAACCAGGTCCCTGAAATAGCTCCAAGAATCACACGTTTCTGCAAGTAGAGGCACAGACTACATTTAAAGAGGGCCTTGTTCATAAGAATCGGGGGCAGGAATAAGTGCCAAATGATGAAGGGAAAATGACAAAGTAGCCAAGTAGCAGGTTACAGGAAAGCTCTGGGGGTTGATCTCAGGGGTGGCAAGCGGGGCTGTGCTTAGCTCTGGCCTCCGGGATTGTCTTGGCTGTCTGTCGTCATCTCTTGGAGGGGTCCTGATTAGGCGGACAGGCTTCTGTGTGGAGGGCTGGAAAGCTTGGCTGAACTTTTCGGTAAAGAACACAGAGGTAGGATTGAAAGCTCCTTTTCTATCTACCAGGATAATTTGTATCTTGGAAGAATAAAATATACATTTTTTTCCAATTTGTTTTTGCCTGGGCTCTTTCTACCTGTCCTCATCTCTCACCACTGTCTCTCCATCTCGGCTCCAATCTTATCTGAAGTTTCAGCTCTAATGAAATACCTACTGTCAGCGGTGTGCCAAGAATGGGGCCGTGTGAGCCATCTGCCTGGGGTGCAGGCAATAACAGGGACACTGCCCATAGAGAAATTTAAAAACAATCATAAAATAGGCTAAAATCTACTTTTGCCATGTGCTGGCAATTCTAAACAATGTCAGCTACTAAACACACCTTCCAGAAAAAAGATCTCTGGTTGGTATGCGTTCTAAACAACTGCTGGGGTGCTGGCCGAGTTTTAATGATATGTTAAGGTTTCACATTAGCAGATTTTTATTAGTCATTTGTTTGTAAATATTGTTTTCTATATGGAAGTAAATTTGGAGACCGGCCGACTGCTCACAGTCAACTTCCAACACATGTCAACTTAGCTATACGCCCTGGTTTCAAGAGCAAGCCGTTAATAGTTCAGAATCCTTCTAGCTGACTTTGCACATAGTGAGAGCTGCATACTCTTCTGTTTAAACAGTGGAATCAAATAAGCAATGATTATCAGTGACTGGAAAAGAAACAGAACTTGAGTTATTTCGCTTTGCCATCCCCTGTGACCACCTGGAATTTCTAAATCAGTGTTTAAAATTTAAACTGGTGAAACTGTATGAACTGGGGGGTAGAATACTTTTGTTTGGCAAGAGCAAGTTTTAGCTCGCATGAGAAATCTCTTACTAAATGTGATGATAGCTTTAACGTGAAACTGCTTTTTAATTATTGCTTGTTTGAAAACAAAAGGACAAATCAAGAAATTAAATGTCCGTGACATGATTTCATAGCTGCCTACCTTTTACCTTTTGCAAATGCTTTGATTTTATTGCCATTTACTGCTAATTTTTGTAACTGTCTGATTAGACATGAGACACACAAAGTTTGATAAAAGGAAAATGCTACAATCAGCAGTTTTACTCTGGCTGTTACTATCATTCATTTAATTTCATAATTATCACTATCAGTAGTTTATGGAGGGAGATGGTGTTAAAAACGACCTGCCCCAGGTGCCGAACACGCTGGGTGCTGGTTGCTCAGTGTGACCGGTTGTCTCCTGCCGAGCTGCTGTTCCTTCAAGCATGATGCTTTTCCCCTTGTAAGTTCCTGCTCCCACTTTGAGACTCAGTTCACAGCCCCTCCTCTGCCAGACTCTTCCGATTCCATCTCGCCTAAATGATCGGTTTTAATTTCCCTTCTTGCCTTTGTGCATTAGTTTATCCTTGCATTGGCTGTGCTGCGGTTTCATGATTTGTTAGTCTCTTTCTGCCTCTAGATGATGAGCTAATGGAGAGCAGAGATCACAGCTCATTCATCTCAGTGTCTCCAGTTCCCAGCCTAATCCCTGGCACATAATGGGTGCTAAATCATCACTCTTGGAATGAAAGAAGAATGATGTGGCTCTCAATAGCTATTAAATTAGGCTTGGCTTGGAGACTGTTCTTTACGCTAAGTTTTTTCTGTTTTGTCAGCTCAGCGGCTAACACCCTCTCCACAGGTGCTCCCCCTGCCGCTGCCTCGCACACCTCAACACTCACCCTAGCGCCAAGGTGGTGGGCAGAGGAGGCAGGCAGGGGACAGGTATGGGTGAGGATACAGAGGAATGGGACGCGAAATCCAGACTTCTAGAAACTGTGCAGCGTCCCTTGACATCAAAGCAAGGGCAGTCACTGTTTCCTGAGAAGTAAAGCTTAGGATGAATTTACATTGCCTATGAATAGAGTATTCCCACTCCCCAAACCATTCTATATGTGGGAATAATCTAGAAGCAAAAAGGCCAAAATGATTTCCTCTTTTTACTCATTCCATTAACTTTGGTTTAATTGAATACCTACTGTGGTCCAGCACGATTCTAGGGTCTATGGAAAATACCAGGAAAGAGGCACATGTTCATTGCAGAAAAATCAGAAAATGGAAATAGGCAGAAAGAAAGTTTTTCAAAATGCCCATAATCCCATCACCCACAGATAATTGCCATTAGGATTTAGGTAGAGATCTTTTCTTTGTCTCTGTCTGTGTCTGTGCATATGTGTGTGATCTATCAAAAGGAACCATAATACACATTCTGTTTTGTGATGTAATTTTCTCCTAATAACGTATCATGGCATCTTTCCATAGTCCTATGTGCTCTTTACAGTATTACGTTTAGCAGCTAATATTGCTCTGTGCCATTATATGATGACTTCTTCAACCCCCCACTCTATTATTGGACATTTAAGTTGGTTTTAAACTGGCTTTTACTGTTAAGAACCATACCTGTGCTGTTTACAATCATGAATCATTCACTGAGCAAATGCTGAACAGTTTCCTTAAGATAAGTGTCTGGAAGGGGAATGGCCGGGTCGAAGGGTAGGAACTAACGAGCTGCCCCTTCTAGACAGCCTGACGGGAAGGGCTCAGCGGAGTTTGTGACGAACCCATCATGAGAAGCTGATGTGGAACTAGGGATCTCCTGGGCTGGGTCCTACCCCAGGACGTCTCTTCTCTCCACTCTGCATTTTTATCCGTCCCAGGAAATGACTGATGCCACAGCTCAAAGGGGCATGGCCTTGAATAGCAGAGTCCAGGCAGGAAGCATGGCCAGAAGCCCTGCAGGGACTCTCCCTCACATTGCTCACTCTGTGGTTAAGGAGGAAAAGCCTCCCTAGAGGCTACCAGCTGACTCTCTAAGTGGCATTCACCAGACCCAGCCCACCTGCCCACCCCTAGGCCAAACAGCAGTGAAAAGGAATGAAACTGCCCTGACTGGTTGACTTTAACCCTGGCTCATTTCTAGGGACTTGGCACGAACTGCCTGAATCCAGTCAGGCTCCTTAAACAAACAGGGGAGGGAGAGGGGCTGCCCAGCGGTGAATGCCATCCCAGAGTGCGCATGAAACTGTTACAGAAAAAGGTCCAGATCCAGACCCCAAGAGAGGGTTCTTGGATCTTGTGCAAGAAGGAATTCAGGACGAGTCTGTAAAGCGAAAGCAAGTTTATTAAGAACGTAAAGGCCAGTTGCCTTATAGAATGTCCCACATTCTAGAGCTGCATGATTATTCTTGGAGGTGTCACTTAATTTGTTCCTCTGTCCCCGAGTATTTTCTTTTTTTCTTTTCCTTTTTTTGAGATGGGGTCTCTGTTGTCCAGGCTGGAGTGCAATGGTGCGATCTAGGCTCACTGCAGCCTCCGCCTCCTGGGTTCAAGCCATTCTTCTGCCTCAGCCTCCTGAGTAGCTGAGATTATAGACATGCACCGCCATGGCTGGCTAATTTTTCTGTATTTTAAGTAGAGACAGAGTTTCACCATGTTGACCAGGCTGGTCTCGAACTCCTGACCTCAGGTGATCCTCCTGCCTTGGGCTCCCAAAGTGTTGGGATTATAGGCGTGAACCACCACGCCTGTCCCTGTCCCTAGTATTTTCTGATTAGATTCAGAAGAAAGGCTTTTGGGACAATAGGTGATACTACATAATACATACTGTATTATACCATGTGGCTCATAATGTCAGGCTGTTTTCCTGTTGATGACAGTATATTTGATATATTTGATCCTTTAAGAATGGAATCCAGAATAGTTTCTTTCTCTTTCATTCCAAAAAGAACCATTACTACAAATCCATTTATATATAAGAGACTTTTCCTGAAAATGTGGGCATAATAGCATGGCTTATAGTGGAATACAGAAAAAGGAAGAGATTAAAACTGAGTATTCTTTCTGTAAGGTGGTGTATGTGTATGGAGACGTGGATTTGTGAGGTTCATGAGGTGGACTGTGATAGACGTAGACACCCACCTTGGATCCTCCTTCAAGAAAGGACTCACTGCCCAGCTGTGAAGAGTGTGGTTGGCTGAAAACCTCTAGGAGCTCCTTCCCGATCTGCCTGGGCTGTTGAGCTGAGGTCACACTCTTCTCAGGGGCACCTCGACCAATGTCAGAGCCACGTGGAGGTAGCTGAAGGCATGCTTTCACCAGGATGACCACCAAAGATCAATGACTTCAAAAGGCAATGGCACAAGAGCCTTTCTGTTTCTGCCCAACACAGGACATCCTGGGTTCAGGAAAAGTTATAATTTAAATATACATTCAAGCTTTTTCTTTTCTTTCCTTTTCTTTTTTTGACAGAGTCTTGCTTTGTCATCCAGGCTGGAGTGCAGTGGTGTGATCTTGGCTCACTGCAACCTCTGCCTCCCAGGTTCAAGGGATCCTGTGCCTCAACCTCCTGAGTAGCTGGGATTACAGGCATGCACCACCACACCTGGCTAGTTTTTGTATTTTCAGTAGAGTCCGGGTTTCGCCATGTTGGCCAGGCTGGTCTTGAACTACTGACCTCAAGTGACTCCCAAAGTGCTAGGATTACAGGCATGAGCCACTGTACCTGGCCAAGCTTTTTCTTACTATAGAGTGGGAGTGGCATCTTCTTCCAGCCTTCTGCATATGAGGTACAGTCTACCTTTGCTCTGGAACTCCCTGCTAGGCTGGAAGACTCTTGGCCAGGTCTGCATCATGGTGTGACCCTCCCCCTGCCCAATTGCATTTTGCAAGTATGACTCCCCAGTCCACTTTTTGTACTCCAAACACTGCTGCAGTCTTCTCCAGGAAGAACTCAACTGGCACACAGACTGTATGGAGAATCTAACTAAAATTCTGGCTCATTTGCCCAGAAAAAAACAACCATACATGGAAGCCCTAAATCCTGAATACAAGTTCAAGGTATTCATGGATGCCTTGAAGCCCATGGACCCCACCTGAAGAGCCCTGGGATTTGACTCTCCACCTGCACTTCATACTCCCATGGGGGACGTGCTCTTGATACTGTCAAGAGTTATAACTCTAGCAAGGGGCAATGGTTGCAATCTGGGCAGGACAACCATGAGAGGCAGTGCAGTGATGCATCTCCCTGGGTGGCAGGCATTCTCTCTCAATTATCCTTCCTCATTGACTTTGGTAATGAACCTTCATAAAGAGAAGATAAATTCTCCTGGGATCTTTGGGTCCCTGAGAAGCAGGAGAGCTGACATTGGAATAGAGAAAAGCTGGCATCTTAGGCTAAATGATGACTGAAAAGGGTGTAGGCAATTTTCAGGTTTCTTCCTAGATTGTCCAACTCAATCAGGGCAAAGGAGGGAGCAGGAAGTCCAGAAAATCATCATGTTCATGAAGAAAGAGTATGCATTTGTAGAGAGTTATTCATGAGTTTGAGCTCTCAGAGGAGCCGGTGGAGCGGAAGGCATTGGATGGGCTATCGTAGCAGGAAAAGGGGCATTTCAAGATCCTAAGGTCTAGGATTCAGGAAATTCAATCAATCAACACCTCATTATTTGTTTCTATCTCACCTTCTTCCATAAAGAATGATGATGTGTCCCTGTGTGGTCATGTAAAATGGGTTACAATTTGGAGACAGAGGCTGAGGGTGGAAAGGCTGAAGAAGCCATGAAGAAATTGTGTCTGGGACCTGCGGGAGGGGCAGACAGAAGACGCAATTGTGCGCAAAGACTGCGTATTCTCAGTAGCCAGTGATTTAAGTTTGGTGTGAAGGATATAGCATCTTTGGGAAGCAATTTGGTGATTCTCAGGAGGAACAGGGCTTTTTGACCAAATCAGTGTTACACAGAAGCAGCATGTGGTTGTGATACCAGTTCAGAAAACTATACATACATAACCTGAAAAGCGAAAGTTCCTTTTCATGACACCATGCCCCCTCCACCCTAAATTCAGTTCCCGGGAAATAGCTACTGTTAGCAGGGCTGTGTCTTTTGGATTTGCAGTGCACTCCTCTTTCTGGGAAGGCATGGGTGCAGGGCTCCTCCTGTGGGGAGGACCCCTTGCCCATCCATGCACCCATAGGGCCACCTGCTCCTTCTCAAGCTGCCCCTGGGAGCAGATGCATCTTGGATCACTGTAACTGGCTCCTCCGTGATGAGGACAACCATCGGAGTGGGGAGATTGGAGCATACACCACCAGCTTCCTTCTGTTGGTAGAAGCCCCATGACGGCCTTGCATTCTAAGGACAACCTGATTGGCTGATGATTTTATCCCTCGGAAACTCAGATATGGATGGAAAGTTGAGAGGTGAGCTCTCCTTCTTCCCCAGGGGGTAGAGGGGATCCTGTCCATTCCCGGAGCTGTGCTCCAGCCTCTGCCTGCACGCCCGAGGCTGGCCCCACCTCTGCCAATATCCATTGCCCTGTTTTGACTTGCAACAGAGATGCTCATTTTGCGCTTTTGCCTGACCACGAAGATTTGTCTGCTGCAGCTTTCTCGTGACTGATGTTATTTGCTCCACTGTGGAAAAATCCCAGGAGCCTCACAGATCAAGGGCCTAAAGGGAATCGTGTGGGAGGCCTCTGACACTTTGTGTAAAGGGGAAAAACATTATTCCCAGGAGGCAATCAGTCCTCGGGGTGGTGAACTCTGGCCACGGGACCAGCTCCGTCTCTGCGGTGAAATGAGGATGTGTCCTGCTGAAACATGAGTGGGACTTGCGAAGGTCTGGAGGCCAAGTCAGAATTTCCAGGCTGCTTCCATGGGTTCCACGGTCACCCTGGGGTCTGGTCCGAAGCCTGGCTTTTTCCCATTTGAGACTCACATTTTCCCATACCCTAACACGGAGGCTAGCACAGTGTCTGATACTTTGTGGACCCTTGATCAATATTCTCGGGAGGAAGACTTTGATAAATATTCTAAAAGTGCCTTATCTGTTCTAGATGCTAGAGATTCAGCAGTAAACAAAATGAACTAAAAATAGGACTACCATTTGATCACCAATCCTGCTATGCAGTATCCACCCAAAAGAAAAGGAACCACTCTATAAAAGAGATACCTGCACTCCTATGTTCATTGTGGCACTATTCACAATAGCAAAGATAAGAAATTAAACTAAGTGTCCATCAGTGGATGACTGGTTAAAGAATATTTGGTACATATACACAGTGGAATAGTACTCAGCCATGAAAAAGGATCATGTCTTTTGCAGCAACATGGATGGAGCTGGAGGACATCATCTGAAGTGCAACAACTCAGAAACAGAAAGTCAAATGCCACACATTCTTATTTATAAGTGGGAGCTAACTAATGTGCACACATGGACATAGAAAGTAAAATAATAGACATTGGAGACTTGGAAAGGTGGGAGGAGGGTGAGGGATGAGAAATTATCTATTGGGTGCAATATTCACCATTTGGGTGATGGTTACCCTAACAGCCCAGACTTCACCACTATGTCAAATATCCATGTAACACGTAACAAAACTGTAAAAATAATTGTAAAAATTATTTAAAAATTGTAAAAAATTGTAAAATTGTAAAAAAAAAAATCCCCTAAGTCTATAAAAATTAAAAAATGGACAAAAATTCTTGTTCTAATGAGTCCTAAAAAATTAACTCCCTTGATACATTCTCTTTCTTCCTGATACATTCTATTATCTTTCTGTATTTCTACCAATTAATTTGGTTTTATTTCCCTTCAAGAAATAAACAACAAAACATCTTGTTAAAGGGACCATTCTTGGTCAGGTCAATAAACATAAATGAACCTGGCCAGGCGCAGTGGCACATGTCTGTAATCCTAGCACTTTGGGAGGCTGAGGCAGGAGGATCACTTGAGCCCAAGAGTTGGAGACCAGCCTGGGCAACATGGTAAAACCCTGTCTCCACCGAAAAAATACAAAAAATTAGCTGGGGTGGTGGCATGCACCTGTGGTCTCAGCTACTTGGGAGACTGAGGTGGGAGGATTGCTTGAGCCCAAGAGGTTGAGGCTACAGTGAGCTGTGATCATGTCACTGCACTCCAGCCTGGGTGACAGAGTGAGACCCTGTCTCAAAATAACATAAAATAAAATTAATGAAGAATGCATCTTCTAAGAGACACAGCCTACAGTGGATAAATGAGGAATATGAAGCTGTAGTTCTCAGGAATCTCAAAGTCATTCCTTGGATGCTTTTGGCTCAACCTGGTTTTAAAAAAATGGAAAAATGAAGAAATGTATGAGCTTATAAAGGAGAAAATCCAGAGGTTGGGCTGACCTTCAAGGTAGCAGCAGTGGCTCATGGATGTCATGAAGAAACAGCTTCTTCTTCTTCTTTTTTTTTTTTGAGACAGGATCTCTGTTACCCAGGTGAAAGGGCAGTGGCACGGTCACGACTCACTGCTCAGCTTCCTGAGATCAATTGAGCTGAGACCACAGGTGCACACCATCATGCCTGGCTAATTTTTACATTTTTTCAGTAGCGACGAGGTCTCCCTATGTTGCCCAGGCTGGTCTTGAACTCCTGGGCTTAAGGGATCCTCCTGCCTCAGTTGCCCAAAGTGCTGCAATTGCAGGCCTGAACCACCACGCCTGGCCAGAAGCAGCAGCTTCTGTCTGTGTTCTTCACCCTGCCTGTTGCAGTGTTGACTTTAACCTAAAACTGGCTCTCATCACAGTTCTGGAACAGCTGCCAGTAGCTCTCAGAGCCACATGTTCCCTCATTTGTGCCTGACAGGAGAGAGGCTGGCTTTCCATGGCCTTCAGAGTGGGAAATCACCTTGCTGAAGGCCTCCAGTGAATTTCTGCCCAGTTCTAAATGGTGAGCGTTGGGTTCTGTGTCCATTTCTGAACCAACCACTGTCCATGGAAATAGGATGCCTTTTTACCCTGCAGTGGACATCAGTTCTCCAACTCATAAGGGAGGAATAGAACAGAAGTCATTCTGTACAATTTAAATGTAAAGTTGACCTTTATCCATCTTCTCAAAGCCTTCCCTCTGGGCCTGGTGGTCTCTGTGGGACAAATATTTTCCTTCTTCTCATTTCCCAGGAAGTAGAAGTAGGGTGTGTGTCCTCTCTCCTCCCAACTGCTGATTCCGAAACTTTTTGTTTTGCAAAACCCCATGCTCCTTTGAAACTGATGCCTTTATTCCTCCCTCAGCTGTGTCCTCGTCACCTAGTAAGTTCCTTGTCATGCCCATTCTCTGTTGTTTTTTTAAGTTCTCAGTTTTTCTTTGTATCCTTTCTTCTAATTTCATTCTAATTCAGTAAACAATCAAACAAAAAAGAAATATGTGACCCAACATTCTGCTTCTCAGTTTTTTCCTTTGTTTACTTTTTAAACTTCCCCCTCCAGTGTGATCCTTTCCTTCCCTAAACCCCAGCCATTGACCCTCATCATCTTATTCTGTGTCTTGTCATCAGCAGAAACTGCATCTCTTTTGGAATCTTGATTTTAAATGCCCTGTGTCCTGGCTACTACCTTCCCTCCTTCTTGCTAACTTCCTACTCTCCTTTGCACTCACCCAGCAAAAATCACTCACTCACCCAACCCTGGTTGAACCCAATGATCTACTTTCTTTGTGATTGGACTGAACTGCTGAATACTGTTTGAGAAGCTCACACTAACTGGCTTCACAATGAATTGCAAACCTGACTGATGGCTCAACTCTATGTAGAAATTCTGCAGTGCAACCCTGTAGGCATCCTAGCATCCAAGATGGCCTCATTACTGGCTGCTCCTTCTCCTTTGCCGATTCCGCCTCCACTTCCTGGTTTCTAAACAGACATTCCCAGGGCTTCCGCTCAAGACCTCTTTTCTTCTCTCCCATTCGTTCTGCTCTTTCCACCTCTATTCATTTCCATGAAACACCATCCATGTAACTGTGACTTCTAAATGTCTCTCTTTAATCCAGCGCTTTCCCCTGGGTGTTAGTCTGGTAAATTGTCTGTTGACATATTCAGTTGCTGACTCACAGGCGACTCAAACGGAACATATCCCATGTGAATTTCAAATCTCCCTTTCTGCTTCATCTAAAATTTCTCTTCCAGTGTTCTCTGTTTCTGTAGCTCGACCTTGTCACCGTCTACCCCCTTACTACAGCCCCAGACCCTCAATGTCTCCATTTTCCTCACCAGTCTTTTTCCTTTACACATTCGGCATTCGGCGACCTCCATGGATTCCACCTTCAAAAGAGCCATATCTCAAATCCATCTACCACTTTTCACCTCTGTCACCATCCCCAGGACAGTCCATCATCATCTCACCTGGCTCATGATAATAGAGTCCTAAATGGCTTCCCTGTGGCCACTCTTGACCACTGTAGTCCACACTTCACCCAGTAGCCTGAATGATCTTTGAACAATGTCAATCACATTATCTCACTTCCTTGCTTAAAACTTGTCAATGGCTTCCCACCATGCCTCAAATTCCAGTGCAATCTTCCCTTACCTCCCTCATTAGCCACACTGGCTCCCATCCTCCCTTGCTCGTGATGCTCCAGTAACACTGATGTCCTTTTCAGATCTTAGAATATGTTGAACTCTTTGAACCTCAAGGTCTTTAATGGACTTTCCTTTCACCTGGATTAGTCTTCTTTGGTCTCTTCTCACAGCAGAAATTTCTCATCTCTTGAAACTCAGCTTGAGTGTCGTCTGAAAGATGCCTTGCTGTCCACCTCCTCTAATGTGTGTCTGACTCATTATTCTCTGTCGTGACTCTTTTTTCCCATTGAATGAAACCTCTCATAATCCTAGTTATTTTATTTACTTGTTTATTGTCAGTCTTTGCCATTAGAATGTAAGTTCCATGGGGACAGACCCTGGTGAGTCAGGTTCACTGTTGCATCCCCAGGACCTAAGACCATCTGTTACATTGTCAGTACTTAACAGGTGCCTGTTGAGTGAAACAGATGAGTGAATGTGAATCCCTCTGTGGATCATTCATCATGACCTCGGAGGCCTTCGAAGCCTCACACAGGATATGCTCAGGTATTAGAGTTCTCCAGAGAAGCAGAACCCATTGGATATATCTGTATCTATATCCATAGATATATCAGAGATTTACTATGGGAATTGGTTTATGCAATTATGGAGGCCGAGAAGTCTAAAGATCTGTTGTCTGCAAACTGGAGAATCAGCAAAGCCAGTGGTGACATTCAGTTCAAGTACAAAAGTCTGGGAACCAGGAAAGCTGATGTTGTAACTCCCATCTGAGGCCGAAGCCTCGAGAAGGAAGAGTTTCAATGTCCATAGGCAGAAAGAGAGGGATGCCTCACCTCACTCTGCTCACAGGCTAGTGTCTTTGGCAGGTTCTGAACTCCTTTGAAAGTAGGGTTCTCATATCCTGTCCAGCCTCATGCCCCTTTCTCACTTCTTACCCTGCAGCGCTTAGCTCTGTGTTTTGCACTCCACATGTATTGACTATATAAATAATTTAACTTTTCTACTTTAGTGAAGAGGAAAAAAATTTTCACATACAGATTGAGAAATTTACTTCAACTGGCACACTTGGAGAGATGAGGATTTCAGGTCAGAATTGTTCACTCCGTGCCTCTCCAATACGATGAAAAGACCATCAGTATCACTTCACACCGAAGCCAATGACTGTTATCAAAAAACCAGAAAAGAGCATGTATTGGCCGAGATGTAGAGAAATCGAAACCCATGTGCATTGCTGGTAGGAAGGTGAGATGCTGCAGCTTCTGTGGAAAATGGGATGGTGGTTCCTTAAAAATGAAACAGAGGACTACCGCGTGATTCCGCCATTCTACTTCTGGGCATATACCCCAAAGTATTGAGAGCAGGGACATGAACACCAGTGTTCATAGCAGCATTAATCACAAGAGCCAAAAGGTAGAAACAACCCAAGGCACTTGTACACCCACATTTATAGATGTGTTATTCATAATAGCCAAAAGGTGGAAACAACCCAGTGTCCATGGATAGACAAAGGGATAAACAAAATGTGGTCTGCCCATACAATGGAATATTATTCAGCTTTAACTAAGAATGAAATTCTGACACATGCTACAACATGGACGAACCTTGATGACATGACGCTGAGTGGAATAAGCTAGATACAAACGACAGACACCATATGATTCTATTTACATTAGATTCCCAGAGTAGTCAAATTCATAGAGACAGAAGGTAGTATGGTGGTTACCAGGGCCAAGCTGGGGAGTAATAGGGGGTTAATACTTACGGTGAAATTCTGTAGTGGGTATAGACTTTCAGTTTTACAACAGGAAAAGAGTTTTGGAGATGGATGGTGTTGATGGTTGCACAACAAAGTTAATGTGTTTTGTTTTGTTTTGAGACTGTGTCTTGCTCTGTCGCTCAGGCTGGAGTGCAGTGGCGTGATCTCGGCTCACTGCAACCTCTGCCTCCCGGGTTTGGGTGGTTTGCCTGCCTCAGCCTCCTGAGTAGCTGGGATTACAGGCACCCGCCACCACGACCAGCTAATACTTTTTGTATTTTTAGTGGACACGGGGTTTTGCCATGTTGGCCAGGCTGGTCTCGAACTCCCGACCTCAAATGATCCACCCACCTCGGCCTCCAGAAGTGTTAGGGTTACAGGCATGAGCCACTGCGCCCAGCTGTTAATGTGTATTTAATGCCTCTGAACTATAGACTTAAAAATGGTTAAATGCCAAATTTTATGTTATATATATTTTACCACAATTTAAAGGAAAAAAAAAAAGAAGAGAGCATTGGAAGTAGAGCAGTGGATCTTAACTTAGGGCTCACAACTTCTTCGAGTTTTGTTTATAAAGCTATTACCTCTTCCCATAAATACATACATAGGTATATACAGATGCATACAAGTGTTGGCATATAATTTTTTTAAATTGAAACAGGATCTCCCTCTGACACCCAGGCTGGAGTGCAGTGGTGCAATCTTGACTCACTATAGCCTTCGCCTCCCAGGCTCAGGTGATTCTCCCACCTCAGCCTCCCGAGTAGCTGGGGTTACAGGCGCCGGCCACCACAACTGCTAATTTTTTGTATTTTTAGTAAAGACGGGATTTTGCTATGTTGCCCAGGCTGGTCTCAAACTCCTGGACCCAAGCAATCTGTCTCCCTTGGCCTCCCAAAGTGCTGAGATTACAGGTGTGAACCACTGCGCCCAGCCTGGCATACAATTTTTAAAAATAAAATGTAAGCACTCAAACTTTCAAAGTTAATAACATGTGCTTATTGAAAATGAAGAGCACGTGGAAGACAGAACTCAGAAGTCACCTGTAATCACAAGCAGATTACATGTGACCTTGCTCTTCTAAGTCCTTGTGTGTGTATACACACATAATTGAATGCATATTGTTATGTTGTTGAGATCACACAATATGTATCATATTTTCACACACAATGAATATTTATCAATTTAAAGTCCCAAAGCCAAGAGTATTTTGATAACCAAGAATACACTACACCATTTCAATCAGGAAAAAAAATGTAATTTTGCCTTTCATGGAGACAAAAATTTCCTGAAAGACAAAAATGGCAACAGTCCTCTGAATAAAGATGTTGGCAGAGTTACAATTAAAATACTGTGTTCCGTTAATGCTCAATTTAAAATAGGGTATAAAGCAATGGGATATAATCCTTCTAAGAGAATGATCAGAGCTGTCCTAGTAAAATGTTAGCAAGAAGGTATGTGTCCACTGAGTTATTTAGCAGTGTATTCTTATAGTAACCCCCAAAGAGATACACACGTACATCAATGGTTATCATCAAGATGGAAATAGCAATGTGTCTGTATAGTTCCTTCCTCATGCTCCTTCTGCCGCTCTGTTGCTGACCCAATTAATGAGTCCTGGGGTGCACTGCTCAGAGGTGGCTTCATAATACCACGTTCAAGAGGCTTCTTTTGTGTTAATTATAATAAAAACATTTACAAATGGGCCAATTCACTAGCTCTACCTTTTATCATACATTGTCATCTCAAGACATCTGAAAAACCAACGATGTTGTGAAATAAAGAATGAACATGGTCTACCTTTGCAAGGACATGGGTGGAGCTAGAAGCCCTTATGCTCAGCAAACTAACGCCTGCAGAAAACCAAACACTGCATGTTCTCACTCATAAGTGGGAGCTGAAAAATGAGAACCCGTGGACACAGGGAGGGGAACATCACACACTGGGGTCTGTCAGGGGAGTGTGGGTGGTGGTGGTGGTAAAGCATTAGGGAAAAGACCTAATGTATGCTGGGTTTAATACCTACGTGACGGGTTGATAGGAGCAGCAAACCACCATGGCACACGTTTACCTATGTAGCAAACCTGCACATCCTGCACATGTACCCCAGAACTTAAAATAAAAATAGAAAAGAATGAACGTGGTCTATAATAAACACAAGCACTTACTAAAAACTGCACATTTGGAACTGTGCTGATAACCCCAAATTGTCTTCTAGATATGGAGTTACCAGTAAGGAGCTCCACCGTGACTCTCCTCCCTGCTCCGTTGCCCCGACGAGGAAGTGTGAAAACGTTTCTGGCTCCATCCAAGAGGTGGGTTGACAGAGGTCGCTCCCAGAAGACAGTCCTTCCTATAAACTGGCAAAACAAAAATGCCTAAAGTGTGTTAAAAGCAGAGGTAATAAAACAACCCACATTTATAAAGGGGTTGTTTTGCTACCTCTGCTTTTAACACACTTCGGGCACTCAGGACTTGTTTATTCCTTACTAGACACCAAAATTAATGAAAATACACAGACAGAACCATGGTCAGACAGGCTGAAATTGTCTAAACTTCCCTCTGCACCCCTCTCCTCCAAGAGATCAAATTTAACACCACTCTAAAAAGATAATCATACCTGTAAGTTAGCAGAAAAATTGAAAGTGTATTATTTTACATTATCTACTTTTAACATATATGTGCACTTCTAAATACTTACGCTACATGATTCAGAGATGATGGAAGAAGTTCATCCGCATTAACTGCACACATGCAACAAAGGCTGTGTCCTGAAAGCATCTTCTACATAGGAACATGCTGGCCTAGAACCCTTCCCCTTCTCACATCTATCAACCCCCTGGGCAAATCTACGCATGTGCAATGCTTAGAGGTGATGTTCACGATATCCACAAGTCATTTTTGGAAGACAGTCTTTCCTATGAATTTTAACACAAAACTTACAAAATTGCTTACTAACTGGACTTTGGTCAAACGCTGGCAACCTCTGTAACATATAGAAAGAGTAGGTGCTATAAAATTAGGACTTGTTTGCTGATCATATACACTACACGCACAGCAAAGTGAGACAAAACGCAGCCCTGTGAGACACTGGTTAATCCGGCCTCACCACAGGGAGCCCATGGGCATTTGCTCCTTTCTGCTCTTCCCTAGACCAGAACACAAATACAACGTGTCCTGTCCAAAAAGGTGGTTTGGCCATTCCATTGCCCAAAGACAATGTTTCATGTGGATTTTAACAAAAAGATATTTGGAAAATATGTCCGTTTACAACATCTACTTTTAATATATACCAACCAGTGCTTCAGAACATCAAGAAAAATTACGTATCTCAAAAAGGAACATGGTGAGGCCAACTACATCTACATTGGTCAAGAATAGAAAATGCAGGCAGGACAATGGTTGGGAAATGAACATGTCCTCCAAACATGACCAATTGGGCATAGAACCCTTCTTCTGAACTGAACCCAAACTCAGCTTCTGCATAAATTCAGGTTGTGCACAGACCTCCTAGAGCTTATTCATGACCCTCTAGACTAGCCTATGGAGTCTAAGTTAAGAACTCCTCTACTCAGGAATTTTCTGTCTTTTCCCGATTCCACAGTTACTTCCCTGAAGAAGAGAGGGCTTTGTTGAAGTCTTCCCATGCTTTCTGCACAGGGCTCTGGCCTTGGAGAAGGGATTTCCAGTTACCGCAGTGTCACTTGGCCCTGGGTCTCCTCCCGGGAGAGAGAAGTGTACGGCTCCCAAGGTTCCTGGCAGTTTTGAAAGAGCTCTCAGCCACAGCCAGCTTTACTTTGGCAAGTGAGGCCATCCCCTTTCTTTCCTCCTTTCCTTTCCCATGGAACCTACTCCTTCCATCTGTCTTTCAAGCTCTGCCTCAGAAATGGCAATTCAAGGCTGATTTTCTCCTTGAATGCACTCTCTCTGTGAAAGAGGCTTTTCACCAAGAATGTGGTGCTGGTGTTTCTCTTGCCAATGGGCTAAACAAAGGCCTCCGCACCGGGTAACATTTGGGCAGGCCTCTTCACACATGCCTGTCCTTCTCCGTCGCACTTGGCTAAAGCCAACAACCTATGTGTGAAAAGTATAAAGAGATGGAAAAATTCCCATGAAAAATCCTTCCGCAAAGCAATTGCGAGACAACTATGGCGTCATCTGATAACATGATTTCTATTTTGCATCTGTTCCATTGTTGGAGGGCACTCATAGTTGCAAGCCTTGCATGTACATATGTAAAAATTATAAGTGAATGCATCTGCTCAGGTTATTAGCCACTGATTGTGAAATAATCTGAAGTTTGAGAGTCTCAGTTAATAACCTATAGGTGCTGAGAGCATTCAAAGACCCAATAGCATAAGTATTAATCACCTCTTTTCTCCAGAGTAGCAAATAAGAAACCAGGAAGAGCTCAGTTTCACTTCCAACTTGTTCTTTAAGGGCCTCAGAGTTGATAGTTGTCCTCATCTGGGCTCCCTAATGCCACGACAAATCAACTAGAAAAGAAATATGCCCCAAATCAGCACCCAAACACGCTGGTGCCAGCCTGTGTCCATGTTCCTGCAACAGCTGCTGCCCACGGGGTAGGACTGAGCCAGGTCTAAGATTAGCAGTGTCCCAGCTCCTCAGGTTCCTGCACATTGACTCACAACGGAATCAAAACTCGGGAGCTCAACTCTCTGGTTTCTTCTGCTTTCTCTTCTGCAATTTTCTTTCTTTTTTTTTTTTTTAACTTTATTTTACTGGCAACCATGAAAGAGATATTTACAGCAAGACTCAGAGCAAGGTCAGAGACCCCTAAACAGGTGGTTTTCCCTTAACTTATCAGGCTGGAGCAGAGTTTAAACCAAACTAGAGGAATCCCTCTAGCTCTGGGCACAATGTAATCTCTACATCCTGGCCTTCATCGCATTGGCTGGAAGCTGGTTGGCTTCATCCAAGGGCCTACTTCGAGGGGATTCATGCCTCTGCAAGTTTGAGCATCCCTCACTCCTGGCGCTGGCGGTGCCACTCAGCCACGGACTGGAGCATCCACTTGGTCTGGAGCTTGTACAAATAGTAGCCATAAACCACGACTTTGGTGAGGTCTGAAGACTCCAGAGGCTTCAGCTCGAGCATGGCCTTGCTCACCAGCTCAATGTAAGGGATTCCTCCCTCGCCAACCTCCAGAGAGTTAAAGACATCTCTACCACCCGGTGGAGAAGAAAGCTGACCACTGGTGTGCTTCCAGAATGCGAGAAGCTCTTGAAGCCCAACATTCCCTTTCAGTGATATTACTGACATTTTCCCAAAGCTGTGTTCTTCAGAGCTGCACATGGCATTGTTAACAACTATTTCTTAAAAACATTTCTTTTAGAGACGGGATTTTGCCATGTTGGCAGGTTGGTCTCAAACTTTTGGGCTCAAGAGATCCACCCTCCTCAGCTTCCCAAAGTGCTGGGATTAACAGGCCTGAGCACTGCGCAACAACTATTGAAACCCTTGTGAGTTAATTGGATAATTTTGCCTTTTTCTAAACCTTTGAGTTGAGACTCCTTTATCACTCTCATTTCCAGCACCTCAGTCTTCCTTTTTCCTTCCCATCACCTAATCTTTTCTTCTTCTTCTTTTTTTTTTTTTTTTTGAGACAAGGTCTCGCTCTGTCACCCAGGCTATAGTGCAATGGTGTGCAATCACTGTTGACGGCAGCCTGGACCCCCTGGGCTCAAGGGATCCTCCCCGTTCAGCCTTCCCAGTAGCTGGGACTACAGGCGAGCCCACCACGCCCAGCTAATTTTTGTATTTTTTTGTAGCGATGGGGTTTCATCATGTTGCTCAGGTTGAATCACCTAACTTTTTATAGACAGGCTCCAGAACTTCTCCAGGTTCTGGAACCTACATTTGATTTGAGGGTGAGTGGCCTTTGACTCTTGGGAGAAAGTTAATGATGCAGAAATGCACTTGGGAGAATTGAAAACAGACCGGAGGAACGTGTGTGTGGAGGCTGCGCGTACCCTGCTATGATGGGTGGGACGTGCTGGAGGGCAGCGTGGGCGGCGGGAGCACGGGTGGAGGGAGCAGCTGCTCAGGCGGGAGCCCTGCGGAACGTGACCCTCTGTGCACTGGAGAGCAGGAGGCTTTGAGGTGTTCTTTCTTTTTTTTGAGACGGAGTCTCGCTCTGTCGCCCAGGCTGGAGGGCAGTGGCGCGATCTCGGCTCACTGCAAGCTCCGCCTCCCGGGTTCGCGCCATTCTCCCGCCTCAGCCTCCGGAGTAGCTGGGACTACAGGCGCCGGCCACCAAGCCCGGCTAATTTTTTTTTTTTTTTTTTTTTTTTTTAAGTAGAGACGGAGTTTCACCGTGTTAGCCAGAATGGCCTCCATCTCCTGACCTCGTGACCTGCCCGCCTCGGCCTCCCGAAGTGCTGGGATAACAGGCGTGAGCCACCGCGCCCGGCCGAGGTGTTCTTTCTATGTCAGTGGTTCTCAACCTTGACCGCATGTTAGAGTCGTTAGAGGAGCTTAAAATGTCCAGACTGTGCCCCAGAGCAGAATCCCTCGGGATAGGGTCGATGGATTAGGACTTTTTTTAAGCTGATAATTTTATATCTATGTAAGATCTTCTGTTTCCTGAACTTCGTGTGAACAGGTCAGGCGCCTGTTGGACCCCTGGAGCCTGGTTAATGGGAACGACCACAGTGGGCATCAAATGGGTAAAGGCCAGGGAGGCTGCTATATATATCTACAGAGAGAGAGAGAGAGAGAGAGAGAGAGAGGGAGGGGGAGGGGGAGGGGGAGGGGGAGGGAGGGAGGGAGGGAGGGGGAGAGAGAGAGAGAGAGAGAGAGTCTCTGTCACCCAGGGTGGGGTGCAGTGGTGTGATCATATAAGCTGATAATTTTTAAACAGGTAACTTCAGTACGCCAGCACGGTTGAGAACTATTGTTCAACGCGAACTTCACATATGAAGCCCCTCTCATGTGTCAGGCACGGCGTCAGATGCTGGTAGGGACTGAATGTTTGTGTCCCCCAAAATTTGTATGTTGAAGTCACACCCTCAGTGTGATGGTATTGGGAGGTGGGGACTCGGGCAGGTCTGAGGTCGTGAGGATGGAGCCTCATGACAGGGTGAGAGAGAGCCCTTACAAGAAGAGACACAGGAGAGATGATCTCTTTCTGTCTCCTCTCCGCCATGTGAGGACGGCAAGAAGGTGGCCTTCTGCAAATGGGGATGAGTCCTCACCAGGTGTGGGATCTGCCAGCACCTCGATCTTGGGCTTCCCAGCCTCAGTACTGTAAGAAGTAAGTGTCTGTTGTTTAAGCCACCCCATGTAATATAATTTTGTTATAGCAGCCTACATTGATTAAGACAGATGCTAAGAATATGAAGGTGAAGAAATGTCCCAGTACTTCATGGGAACACATCCCAGTGGCTTACAGAATCAAAGATGAAAGAGAGAGGGATACACGTGGTTGCTGGCTCTTCCCTGCTGCTCAGATGCCTGGATCACTTGACTGCCTTCTCTATCAAAGGTTGATGTTTGCTTTCGCTTTGTTAGAAACACGAATGATTGGCTGGATGCAGTGGCTAATGCCTGTAATCCCAGCACTTTGGGCAGTTGAGGCGGGTGGATCACTTGAGGTCAGGAGTTCGAGACCAGCGTGGCCAACATGGTGAAACCCCATCTCTACTAAAAATACAAAAATTAGCCAGGTGTGGTGGTGTGCACCTGTAACCCCAGCTACTGAGGAGGCTGAGTTAGGAGAATTGCTTGAGCCCGGGAGGCAGTGGTTGTGGTGAGCCGAGATCAAGCCACTGCACTCCAGCCTGGGTGACAGAGCGAGACTGCATCTCAAAACAAAACAAAACAAAACAACCAAGAAACACAAATGATCAGGGCTTCAATTCTGCAATGCAACAATCACTAACCATTTGTAGAGAATCCTAATGGCTTTTACATTTTCAGTGCCACTGTTCTCTTGCAAATAATATGATATAACCAATCAATATTTGGAAGGAACTCTGAGATTGCTTTAAAATTATTGCATGTTAATAATTATGAACATTTGGGTAATGCTTTTTGACTTTACAAAATGTCTTTATATATAAGCACTGGTTCTCCACCAGGGGCAACTCCCTCCCCCAGGGGACATTTGGCAATGTTGGGAGACATTTTTGGTTGTCCCAGCTGGGGAGAGTGTTACTGGCATCTAGTGGGTAGAGGCCAGGGAGGCTGCTAAACATCCGACAATGCACAGGACAGCCTCTGACAACAAACTATTATCCCGTCTAAATGTCGATAATGTTGAGGTTGAGAAACTCCCATACGCAAGATCTCTCGGAAATGTTTGCAATTTTTACAGTTATTGCATGTGTTAGATATTTTCACAATTCTTTTACAAATCAGGATCCCGAGGGTCAAAGATGATGAGTTACTCATTCTAGATTGTAAATGACAAAGCCAGGTGTATCATGCTGAGCCTATTTACCTGCAGGCTAGCATCATGTAGAACCAGCGTGGTAAGAGTGGGCAAGCAATTTACTGTGCATCTCTGCTTAGAAGTGAAGCAGAAAGTCATGTGGAGCCACCTCAGCTGAACAAAATAATTTTCTTGACCTCGTTTGATTCCTTGGTCTTGAACAGATTTTGGGCTTAAGGCATGGAAAGTTTGGTCCTTGCCCGTGTTATTTGGCTCTTTTCATTTTTGTTGTTATTATGATCAAGACTATTTTGGCTGGTGCAGATGAAGCCAGCGGAGATTAATCTCTGACCTTGTCCTTGAAAATCCCCTACCAGGAGGCAGACCACTTGAGAGCACAATGCCTCATGAATGCAGCAGCTCCTTGGAAGACAGATGCTCCCTTCCTTGAACTTCATGTGGCGAGGTCAGGCGTCTGTTAGATCCCTGGAGCCTGGTTAAGGGAAGCAACCACAGGCATCAAAGCCCAACTGGTCCATGCTGCCTTGGGCTGGGGTGGAGGGGGATGCTGGCAACTTCATGGAGCACGGCAGTCCCTCTGCACTGCTGTGGGCTCCGGGCAAGCTGGGAATTCCAGTCTGGAATCCAGAAACTCTGCTTGTGGTCAGACCCAAGAAAAGGCTTATTTCTTTCAATCAGAGCTTTGCCATCTGTACAGAAGGAAGATTTTCTGGTCTCTTTGTGTGAGTCAGAGTTTTCCAGAAAAAGAGAACCAGTAAGAGATTCTACATTGTATTAGTCCGTTTTCATGCTGCTGATAAAGATATACCCAAGACCCGGGAACTTACAGAAGAAAGAGGCCTAATGGACTCACAGTTCCACATGGCTGGGGAGGTCTCACAATCATGGCGGAAGGTGGAAGGCACATCTCACATGGTGGCAGACAAGAGAAGAGAGCTTGTGCAGGGAAACTCCCCTTTATAAAACCATCAGATCTTGTGACAGTATGACGATAATCGCATGGGAAAGATTTGCCCCCGTGATTCAATTACCTCCCACTGTGTCCCTCCCACAACATGTGGGAATTGTGGGAGCTACAGTTCAAGATGAGATTTGGGTGGGGACACAGCCAAACCATATAATACATATAAAGAGACAGAAACAGAAAGAGAGAGAAAGAATTTTTCATCTATATTTGTGTTGTGTGAAAAGATATATCTAGAGAGAGGCTTATTATAAAGAATTGGCTCCTGTGATCATGGAGACTGAGAAACCCCAAAATCTGCAATCAGTGAGCTGGAGACTCAGGAGAGCCGATGGTATAATTTCAGTCTGAGTCCATGTCCTAAGGTAGAAGAAGACAAGTGTCCCAGCTTGAAGACAGGTGAGGGACAACAGATTCTCCTTTACTCAGCCTTTTTGTTCTCTTCAGACCCTCAACTGATTAGATGCGGCCCACCCACATTGATTAGATGTTTTACTCAATCCACCAAGTCAAATGTTAATCTCACCCAGAAACACCCCCACAGAGACACCCAGGATAATGTTTGACCAAATATCTGAGCATCTGTGGTCCAATCAAGTTGATACATAAGGTTAACCCTCCCCCTCTTCTTCCCAGATGTATTTTGAGATGTTTGTGAAGCACCTTGGATAGGTGCTTACAGGCTCAAGAAGTATCAGAGGACACCATGGTAGTATCCCTTTTTCCATAAAAATGAATCTCTATGTAGTAGCGAATTTTGTATCTATATTTGCACTGTCTGAAATGATAGTTGCTAACCACATGTGGTTATTGGCACTTGAAATGGGACCAGTGCAACTGAGGAACATAATTTTAAAATGTTGTTTAATTTTAGTTAATGTAAATTGAAATAGCCGCATGTCGCCAGTGGCTACCATATTGGGCAGTTCCGCTGTAGATGCTCTCTGAGCATCAGTCTGGAGGAGTATCCAATAAGACACTTACAGCTGCTGCAGGATACAGGACACAGCACATGAAGAAATCTGTAATATTCACATCTATGGAATATCAGGTCTCAAGTAGGCTCATTTGGTCTCAGGAGCTCCTATCAGATATACAGCTGACATTCATCATGTACTTGTTACTGAAAGGAAATGTGCTATGCATGTTGTCTTTGTTAATTCATTTATTGGACAAATATTTATTGAGAGCATTGTCCGTGCCAGGCAGTGGAATAGGTGCTGGGAATACAGAGGTAAGCCAGGTAGACACAGCCCCTGCCCTGGAACCATTTGACCAGGAAGAAAAGCGAGCAACCAGCTAAACACCTGGGTCCTAGGTCGCAAGCTTGTTCACATCTTCACTCAACAAATACTGACCAGGTATTGCCCTTCTCCTGGGACCTAGCAGGGAACAAAACAGAGACTCTGCTCCCATGTCATTTGCATTTATTGGTCAGTTACAAGTCACGTGGTCTACCAGTGGAGTTATCCAGAATCTTGTTTAAATGTTGATATTTACAGCAACCTTATGAAGTAAGTGTTGGTTTTTTTTTTTTTTTTTTTGACAGAGTTTCGCTCTTTCACCCAGGCTGGAGTGCAGTGGCACGATCTTGGCTCACTTCAACCTCTGCCTTCCAGTTTCAAGTGATTCTACTGCCTCAGCCTCCCAAGTAGCTGGGATTACAGGCACCCACCACTATGCTCGGCTAATTTTTTTGTATTTTCAATAGTGACAGAGTTTCACCATATTGGCCAGGCTGGTGTCGAACTCCTGACCTCATGATCTGCCCACCTCTGCCTCCCAAAGTGCTGGGATTACAGGCGTGAGCCATCGCGCCCAGCCCATAAGTTTTAGTGCCTTTTTTTCATAGATGCTGAAACTGAAAAAGGGTGTGGTTAAATAATTTGCCCAAGCCAGTCTCTGGCAAAGATGGGATTCATATCCAGCTACTGATGACCAAACATGGTGAGCAGGTATCCTATGTCCCGAGGAAGCCCATTCCACCTGAGCACTGGATGGAAGGGATATCGCAATCACCCCCATGCATGATGGACAGGTCTAGGAGCATTGGACACTCAATGGAAACTCATGCCCCTGTCAGAAATTGGCAACTGCCACTTCCACGGCACTTGCAAACTTTGCACACGGTCCAGATGTGGCCTGGCTTGTTGCTGTCATGGTAGCAATAGTAATTACTTAGGGGATTTCTGCAGATCTTGCTCATATTGTGCATAATAGGGTATAAAATATGGAAAATTTGCCTCTAAAATAAAGTGTTGCTGGCAAACTCAAAGTTTCTGAAGCTGTTTAAATTAAGCTCAGTCCACATGAGAAAATGATGGGAGATTTGAATAAGCAGAGTAGAGTAGATTACAGGAAAATGGAATGAAGTTCCCAGACAAACAGGAGCTCATTGTAGGGGACAGTACTGATGAGTAGAGGAGATGCTGGGTGATCACCAAACAGCTAAGGAGCCAGGCGGAGGCAGCCCTGTTGAACCAATCACTCCAAAGAGTGAGACTGAACAACAAGCTGCAATGCCAGAAAAGCGCTCCACATGCTGGCAGAGAGCTCGAGTGAGGATTCAGGGTCAAGATCCAGTGGAGAAAATACCCCTCCCTCCCTTTTTGCCTCCCTCTCTCCTTTCTTTCTTTCTTTCTTTCTTGCTTGCTTGCTTGCTTTCACTCTTCTTTCTTTCTTTCTTTCTTTCCTCCTCTCCTCTCCTCTCCTCTCCTCTCCTCTCCTCTCCTCTCCTCTCTCTCTCATGGGTTTACTCTGTCACCCAGGCTGGAGTGCAGTGGTGCAATCACAGCTCACTGCAGTCTCTACCTCCTGGGCTCAAGCAATCCTCTTGCTTCAGCCTCCCAAGGAGCTGAGACCACAGGTGCAGCCAGGCTATTTTTTTTTGTTTTTGTATTTTTTGTAAAGATGGGGTTTTGTCATGTTACCCAGGCTGGTCTTGAACTCCTGGGCTCAAGAGATCCATCCACCTTGGCTTCACAAAGTGTTAGGATTATAGGCCACCACACCCAGCCTTTTTATCTTTTTCTTTTCTTTTTTTGTTGAGACAGGGTGAAGTGTCTGTTGTTCAGGCTGGAGTGCAGCCTCGACCTCCTGGACTGAGGTGATCCTGACATGTAAGCCTAGCGAGTAACCAGGACTATAGATACGTGCCACCATGCCTGGCTAATTTTTTTGCAGAGACAAGGTCTCCTTATGTTGGCCAGGCTGGTCTCAAACTCCCTTGGCTCAAGCGGTCCCCTGCCTTGGCGTCCCAAAGTGTTGGGATTACAGTCAGGAGTCACTGCACCTGACCTGAAAATATTTCTAATCTTTGAGTTAATGCCTGTTACTCAGGAAATACAATGTATACATAGAAAATTCTGTATTTGAATTTCGGAAAATTTTGAAAAATTTTATTCTATTTATATGGTTGTGTTTATTAAAAGGGCCTCCATTTCATATACCTTAACAAAGAAAGGTATATGAGTTCTAACTTCTTAGATTAAATGTCTTTTTAAATTAAAAAAAAAAAGTAATTTTCATGGTGTTCTGTTGGGAATAGCACAGTGCTGTGGGTTTGTGAGATAAGGAGCGAGAGTGTTCCTGCTGGGTTAGAATCGTTTGCTTCTTCCACAGGGAAAGAGAATTCTATAATGGACTCTAGTGAGTTGTGACTTACTTTGGCCAATGAAGCCATTTTTTGATGGGTTTTCTCCATCTCCTGTTTCCTTTCTGTCTCAAGATCAGCAATGCTTCCGATAGAGGCTGCCACTCAGTTCCGGGTGTGGAGCGGAAGCTGAGCTGGCCTGCCATGCACACCAATGTGAACTGTTTATTGTTGTGGGTCATGTGATTTTGAGGTTGTTTCTTACTGTGGTATGGCCCAGCCTGTCCTGACTCTTATAGCAATGGATATTTTCCCTACACTGCAATCTCAGCCCTCAGGGATGCGTCCCCGCCTTGAGAAATAAGATTCATTCAGAGGATGTGGTTGTTTTCTTTCTCACCGAGGATGCAGGGAAGAAGGAAATGGGCTTTGCAAGAATTTTAGTGAAGATAAAGCCAGCTCATTATCCATGAAAAATACACAGAGCACAGGGTTTGAAGTCAGATAGTCCTGAGTTTAAATCAGAGCTACTACTTATGTGCCGTGTAGCCTTAAGGGAATTATTCAATCTTTCTAAAAATCAAATTTTCTTTCTATAAACCTGGGATAAAAACACTTATATTTACAGCGTTTAATTGCATACTGATTAAATTATATATATGAAGATATATACATATATGTATCGCCCTTAGCAGAGTATAACAGACCAACATATGGGTTTACAAGATGTATGTATTCATATATATAATTTATATATATGAATTCATATATAAATTATATATATGAATACATATTAATATATATAAATTATATACATGAATACATATTAATATATATGTATATGCCATATATAAACCCATAGTGTTGGTCTGTTATACTCTGCTAAGGGCTATATATATATATCTTCCTATATATGTATATACATACATATTCATGTATTCCTATATATGAAGCCCTATATATGTATATATTCATATATATAAACGATATATATGAATAATATGATGTGAATATACATGGAGCAATTATATATATATATGAATCCCTTAGCATAGTGTAAGAGCCTAACACTGCAGGTTTAAGAGATGTAGCAGCTCAGTAAATGGTAGTTCTTATGAACATTCATATACACGCACATAGAGGCATTTAAATGACTGACGTACACAGTCTGAATGCTGATACAACATCCACAAATTTAAGGAGAAATGCAATCATAGAAACCACTCATGAGTTGGCAGAGCTGATGCATCCTATGTTTGCTCTAATTGCAATATGGCTAGATAGCAATTTAAAAGATTCAACAATTATTTAACATTTGAGAAGCCAAGTTGATTTGAGGCTGTTTTTAGAAATAGAATATGTTCATACGTGGTAAAATTTCGAGAGTCGTATTCAAACCAAGCCACCAAATCATTTCAGTCGCCTTTCAAAGATGCACCTACCGATGGCATGGTTCCAGATGTATCAATGACAAGTGAGATTAAAAAAAAAATCACATGTTCTTCCCACTCACAACTAGCTTTAAGTCTGGTGATAGAAACAGGTGTGTGAGCAATACATTATATTAGGAGACAAACAGCAGCCTAAATAACATGCTCAGGCTACACCAGTCGAATGTAATGTGCTGAGCCTGGGGTGCCCAGTGTGGCCCTCGACGAGGGCACTAGCACCGATGGGAGAAGCTCCACCATCACTTAATGAAGACAAGTCCTGCCTTGCTGGCATATGATAAGCTTTAGTCTTGCTCCAAAACTACAGCAGCGGCAGTAACAACAACCCGTAACATAGCAGAGCTCTCCATTCATCCCTCCATGTGCCAGATGCTGAGGGGAGTAGTGAGATGGGAGTGTGAGCCCCACCTGCATGAACCTACGCCAACCAACCGAGAGATGAGGCTCCATCAGGGCATCGGGTTCAGGCTGGGGCAGGAGGCCAGACTTCCCTGAGAACGTAATATTCAAACGGAGACCAGAAGGAGAGTAGAATATGTGAAAGTGGTGATTTGGGGAAGAGCTTTGAGCCTTGAGCTGTGGGAGGAAGGCCCATGAGGCTGGAATAAGGCAAGAGAGGGGCAGAGTGATGGGGGAGAAGGCTGGAGAGGCCAGGACGGGCCAGGCAGAACCCAGCGGCTGTGCACCTGCTGACCATGTGCCATGGGACGTCATTGGAGGGCTTTACAAAGGGGAAAGATATCATCTTACTAATGTTTTTAAAAGTTTTTTATGCTTCCTCAACATATTAAACATGGAATTACCGTGTGATCCAGCAGTTCTACTTCTGGGTATATACCAAAAAGAATAAAAAGTAGGGACTCAAACATATTTATACCCTAGCGTTCATAACAGTGTTATTCATAATAGCCAAAAGGTGGAAGTGAAGTAACCCCAGTGTCCACTGATGGAGAATGGATAGGAAAGGGATGGTCTGTTCACACAATGGAATATTATTCAGCCTTAAAAAGGGAAGGAAATTCTGGCACATGCTACAGCGTGGATGAACCTTGAAGACAACATGCTGAGTGAAATAAGCCAGACATAAAAGGACAAATACTGTGTGATACCACTCCCATGAGGTCCCTAGAATATTCAACTCAAGGAGACAGAGAGTAGAGAGGTGGTGGCCAGGGGCTGGGGGAGATGGGAGCATGGAGAGTTATGTTTCCTGGGGACAGAGTTTCAGTTTGGGAAGAAGTAAAAGTTCTGGAGGTGGGTGGTGGGAATGTTTGCACAACAATTTGAATGTACTTAATGCCACGAAACTGCACACTTAAATATGGTTGAAGTGGGCCAGGTGCGGTGACTCATGCCCATAATCCCAGCACTTTGGGAGGCCGAGGTGGGTAGATCACTTGAGGTCAGGAGTTTGGGACCAACCTGACCAACATGGTGAAACCCTGTCTCTACTAAAAAACAAACAAACAAACAAAAAACTCAAAAATTAGCCAGCTGTCGTGGTGCGTGCCTGTAATCCCAGCTACTCAAGAGGTTGAGACAGGAGAATCGGTTGAACCCAGGGGGCGAAGGTTGCAGTGAGCTGAGACTGCACTACTGCACTTTAGCCTGGGTGACAGAGCAAGACCCATCTCAAAAAACAAAAAAATCTATATCTATATCTATATCTCTCTCTATCTCTATCTCTATCTATCTATATATATGGTTAAAGTGGTAAGTTTTATGTTATGTATATTCTAACACATTAAAACAAAGCTCATCATGGGTGCTTTATGGGGAGCAGGGAGTGGGGGATGAGGGTGGGAAGGGAAACCAGTGTTGGGGGAACAAGCCTCCCGGGTCTTGCAGTAGCCCCACGAGGAGCCCAGGATGGCTGGGGCAGGATGGAGCAGCAGAGATGAAGGGAGTGGGTGGGTTCCCTGCTCACAGGTGAGGTGAGCTATGCTGGGCTGGGTGATGAACCAGATGGGAGGAGGTGGTGAGACAGGGGGAGAGCCAGGTGCCAGGGATAGCTGCTCCCTGTTCTGGCACCAGCAATGAGAAAATAAAAACACCACAGAGTGTGGCAGCAATCGCTGGGGGAGGGACACACTTGGTGGTGCGGGCAGGTGGGGCAGTGGGGGTTCAAGTGTTCAGGTTGGACACACACCACCTTTGAGATGACTACGAAAGACCCAAGGGTGGGCGTTAAATAGGGGGCTGGATACACAGGTCTGGAGCTCAGCAGGACGCGCCAGGAAGGAAATGGGAGATGATAGAATGGGAATGTCACGGAAACCACAGGGAGAGAGGGGACTGCTCAGGTGGAGGGTGAAGGGCAGTAGGAAAAAATGCAGGCCAGGAGGTGCAACAAGCCTACACCAGGCCTGACTGGTCAGCCTTGAATCCCAGCAAATTAGCCTTTTCTCTTTAACCAGAGACATGAGCACTTGGATGAGAGTTGCCAGTCGCTAGATATTTAAAACTGCTAAGTGAAATAAACTGGGTACAGAGAGACAAGCAATGCATGATCTCACTTTCATGTGGAATTTAAAACAATTTTTTGTTTTAATTTTTTTTGAGACGGAGTCTTGCTCTGTTGCCCAGGCTGGAGTGCAGTGGCGCAACCTCGGCTCACTGCAACCTCCATCTCCCAGGTTCAAAATTCTCCTGCCTCAGCCTCCCAAGTAGCTGAGATTACAGGAGCCCATCACCATGCCCGGCTAATTTTTTTTTTTGTATTTTTAGTAGAGATGGAGCTTCACTATTTAAAACGATTTGAATTCACAGAAGTAGAGGGTAGAATGATGGCTACCAGAGGCTCGGGGAGAGGGAAGAAAGGGGAGTTATTGGTCAAAGAATACAATGTTTCAGCTCGACAGGAAAAATAGGTTTTGAGATCTATTGCACAGCAGAGTAACTACAGTCAATGATGCATATTTCAAAATAACTAAGTTATATGTAACAAAATAACTCAATGTATCATCACAGAAGATGTCAAGCAATTGAGGTGAGGGATTTGTTCATTAGCTTGATTTAATCACCCCACAATGTGTACATATATCAAAATATCTCATTATATGCCGTAAATGTAATGCAATTATGATCTGTCAATTAAAAATAATATAAAAATGCATGGAAACGAAGTACACAGGGCAGGCCTGCTAGTCCCACGGACCTCTGGTTCTCCAAGCTGCAAAATGCAGATGACTGGCTCCCTTGGTGGCAGGAGACAGGGTCAGGTTGGAACCTAAGTAGGCATTGAGTATCAGATCTTACTAAACCAACTCCATCAAACCCTCTCTGCTTGGAGAGGCCCAGCATGAGAGAGAGCGAGACATAAAGGAAAAACAGTGATGGCTAGGAGGGAAAGGAGGTATAGAGCAGCAAGGTCCGCAGTCTACCTGAAATACAAAGGCTCTGTGTCTGTATGCCGTCTATTTTGTTTGCATAGCAATCCTCCTTTTCCTTCAATTAGTCTGACAGAGGCTTTGCTGATCGCAGGCAAGAGAGTGAAGAAACGCCCACACAGCAAGCGTTCTCATCTTCAGGCAAGAGGCAATGCCAGTCTCCTATTATAATGGTCATAAAAATGTCAGTTACCGTACCATGTACATATGTTGAAGGAGAAATTCCTTCTTGCTCTCTCCTGGTCTCTCTTTTTTAATTGCAGGAGACTCCTTTTGGAGCTTAGAATTAGTTTGCATTTTCTGGACATGCTCCAGCTGGCCCCAAAGTGGGTAGCAGAGAGGAGCTAGTTGTAGAATAATGGAGATTTTCCTCAATATGTAAGAACTTCCCTCGCCCGGGCACAGTGACTCATGTCTGTAATCCCAGCACTTTGGGAGGCCAAGGCAGGCAGATCACTGAGGTCAGGAGTTGGAGACCAGCCTGGCCAACATAGTGAAACCCCAACTTTATGAAAAATACAAAACTTAGCCGGGCGTGGTGGCAGATGCCTGTAATCTCAGCTACTCGGGAGGCTGAGGCAGGAGAATCACTTGAACCTGGGAGGCAGAGGTTGCAGTGAGCCGAGATCGTGCTACTGCGCTCCAACCTGGGTGACCAAGCAAGACTCTCAAAAAAAAAAAAACAAAAAAAAACTTCCCAAGAGTAAACACTACTAAAATTTTGTATTTCAGCTGGAGAGAGTTTACCAGCCACACACTTGGATTAGGATGGGGTTACCATAATCTATGCTGGCACAAGTGAGAAGTGGATGTCTGCTGGGGGCTGTCAGAAAAATTGGTGGGGAAAGAGCTCTGCTGCAGGTACCAGCGAGCCTTGAGATGTTGTGGACTGTTGGCAAGCTTTCCAGGCCTAGGAATTTAGGCCTGGCATCACCACGGCCTGGAGGGCAAAGGAGAAGGACTTCGGACCCAAATCCAAAAAAATGAAGTAGGGAGAGGAGGCCAGGTGGAGTTGGAGGGGTGGACAGGGGCTATGCATGTCTCTGGAACCAGGTTCAGGGCACCTAGAGTTTTGTGATGGAGTGCCAGGTGTAGGAGGGACATGGTAGATCCAGAGGTGCTGCATCCTGAGAGCCTCCTGCCTCCTGGGGCAGAGACACAGCGTGGGGAGGCTGATGGTCCTGACGCTGGTGCCAGGCCTTCTGTGGCAGAGGATTCTCCTCTGCTTCCTGCCCAGCCCTGCATCTGAGGCCAGGATGTAGGCAGGCTCAAAGCAGGGTGAGGACATGTGTATATGCATATGTGTGCATGCGTGAGTGTGCACATTTGTTCACATGCATGCACACATCTGTGTGCATATTTGTGTATGTGCATGTGCATTTTGTGTGTGTGCACATGTGTGTGTTGCTTCCAATAATATCCCCACGTCTGGCCTTCCTACTGCACGCAGCCACATCTAGAGGCAGGCAGCTGAGCCAGGTGAACTGTCAATACCCATCTGGCTTTATTACAATGTGATTCGGGGACTCTGCAGAGAGCACTCTGCAGCAAAGTATGACATGGGATCTTTTTCAGCTATGGACTTGCCAGCAGTCTTCTGCAGCCATGTCTTCTGGGCCAGCCTTGTAGGGAATTGCCCCTCCCTATTCCTGCCCAGCCTGGTTCCATCTGGTTGCTGTCAGGCTCCCAGCTGCTGGGTGGAGAACTGCAGTGGCAGAGTTTGCTCATCTGGATGCTTAATAAGCAGGCACCCTCCCTATGCCAAAGCAAAGCCTGCAAGAGAGGACTCTGATGGGTTGTGGGCAAGAGCAGCATTGGCTTTGCGATCCCCAATCTCATCGTGACCTCCTGGGTAGGGGAAAGGGAGCCCCTGGCAGAGGCTGTGGCCTCCTCTTCACTGGCAAGATGTGGACTTTTCCTCCTAGTTATGAAAGGGCCATGGGGCATGTCACACATTGAGGGAGGTCTAAGAAAAGGAAACTGCCACCCATGTTTGACTGTGATGACACTGGTAGAAATGCCATCCCGGAAGCAAGGATAGAGACCGCCTTCTCCCTCCCCTTGCGTTTGTTTCCATGTGCTTGTTCCCATTGGGAGTGGGAGGATGAGTTTAGAGAGTATTGAGATGATGCCTTTATTTAGGTGAAGCAGAGCTTGGCCAAGTCTAAAGTCAAGCTCTATAGATGGAGCCTCGCTAGAGGGCTGCCTCTGAGGAGCTAGGATTGCTTATAAGAACCAGGGAGGAGGAAAGACAGTGGAAAGGGGTAGGCAGGGATGCAGGCTGCCCATGGAGCAAGGTGGAGAACCTGTCACAGGGTACCCGGCCTTTTACAAGGGCTTTTCGGGGAAGGAGCTGTATCAGAGGCTGTTACTTGCCTCCTCAATATCCATTCTTCCCTACTGTTGCTATCACAGGAAGGTGAACACGTGCCCAGCTAAAAGCCTATATTTCAGTGTCCCTTGCTGGAATTGTGGCCAAGGAGATGTAAGTGGAAGTCACTGGATGGGATTCTGGGAAGGCTTTGTGAAGGTGGCTGACCCAGCTGGAAAAAGTGACCTTTTGTACTTCTGTCTTCTCCTTTTTTGTATCTGCAAAGAAGTGGAATGACTGGAGCTCCAGCAGCCATCTTGTGCCTATGAGGTGAGTTCTGGAGAACAAAATCCCACAGCCGAAGGTGGTGGAGCAGAATGATATAGGGTACCTGGTTCCTGCTGACAATGTGGAGCCCTCCTATGCTCCCTGGTCATCTCTCCTCAGACCATGCCATGTGAAAGAAAGTCATCCCATAATGTGATTAAGCCATGCTTACTTTGGGTCTCTGCTTATAGCAGACAAAAGCCATTTCTAGATAATTCAGGAGACTAGGCAATACAGACTAGCCTGCTTGCAAGACAAGCTTTCTTAGTCAAGCCTAGGTCTTCACATAGGACTCTTATTCAAGGAATTAGACTGAGAAAAAAGGCAAAGAGGAATCTACATGAAAGAGTGTATTGTGGTGAAAGTTAAACAGTCAAAAATAAACAGTAGTGTCGTTAACAAAATGCCCTTCTCAGTGTGCTCAAACACTTCAGAGTCCTGTTTTCTCAGAATCAGGGGATTGAAAATGACCTTAAATATCATTTAATTTGTTTAGCCCCACTCCCCTTTTTTCTTTTCTCTTTTCCCCTTTTCTCACCCACAGAAAGTCAGTGTCCTTCTGTTTGTGCCTGCTGGCCTTTTGCTGCCAATATCTGAGCAAAGTTGCTCCATATGACCCTGTGATATTGGCAGATCACAAGATTTGTCTCAAGTCATTCAGTATCAGATCCCAGAAGTAGCAACTCTTCTTTTGCTGATGCCTATCCATCTATTTGTCTATCTCTCCATCCATCTATCTACTTATCCATCCATCTGTCCATCCATCCATCCATCCATCCATCCATTTTCATCCATCCATCCATCCATCCATCCATCCATACATCTATCTACTTATCCATCCATCTGTTCATCCATCCATTAATCCATCCATCCATCCATCCATCCATCCATCCATGCATCCATCCATCCATCCATCCATCCATCCATCCATCCATCCACCCATCCATCCATGCATCCTTCCATCCATTTGTTCATCCACCCATCCATCCATCTATCTTCTCTCTCTCTCTCAATCGTCTGTTTATTGGTTGTTTCAAGCACTGCGGCTACACAATTTAAATACATAATCTTCACAACAACCCTATGAGCCTTGTTATCTCCACTCCACAAATTAAGAAATGAGGCTAAAGATAATAAAGTAATTTGCCTAAGGTCAAAGAGCTAAATGCAGGATAAGGTTGGAAGTGTCTATGTGGTTCCAAAGAACCCAACACACTGAACCACTTTGCTAGGCTGGCTTGTCATGGGTTATCCTTCCACATGACAAACAAATAGAGAATTCATTCCAGCCAACACACGCTGATTGCACAAACATAAAAACAGATCTTATAGAAATATATATTTGATGGGCTTCCAGGTAAAGACTTTTGTACAGCCTATCATGATTTACTCTGGCCTCAAAAACTTGCTTTAAAAGCCCAGAAAAAAAAAGTGTGATGTTAAAAGTCTTTGGGTCAGTTGGGTAAGAGGACATCACCAGAGTGGCAAATCCCAATGAAATGGAAGCTCCATGGCCAATAGAAATGGACCCTTGTTAGATTGTGGCTTATTGTAGCAATTCAAATATATTCACCTTTCAAATCATGTCTTTTCCAGGTATTATGACCACACAGGGGAAAGCCAGGTTAGCCCCCATCTTAGAGGATGGTCCTTTTCTGGATCACCAGGTTATAAATTTGTCCTACGACATAGGTTAGCGTGTACTCTTGGCCCTTCAAAGGATGTGGTATTTTGGTGTTGACCTTCAAGACGTTCCATAGTATGTAGTCGTTTTAATTTTGCAGAGGTACAAGTTCAAGGGATATCTGAGATGAGATATTTAGCTAGTGAGGAGGCAAGGGGGTTAGCGAACCCCGTAAAGCTCTTCAGGTGATGAAACGTTGTTAAAAGTATAGAGAGCAATTTGGTAAGAGACAAAAACTTAATGAAATTTGAAAAGACCATTATCTTGTGGGATGGGGATATTTATAGGAAGGGTGACTCAGGGGGCAGGGACTGCTGGGAAAAGCCAGGAACCTGTAGAATCATTAGGATCCAGTCATTTGGAGCTTCCTCCAGGTCTGGGAAGACATTCTTTCCCAGTTCCCAAGGGCCATTGCACTCTGATTTGGAAACAAATAATTTAGGATGAGTATAAAAATGATAAAACTTGCTCATCAAAGTGACATTTTAGACATAGCTAAATATTACCACATACCATATTATACTGTCATAGTTTCCCACCATTTTTTGTTCCTTGGAATAAGGCAACTTATAAATACTCTACATTATGGTTTTTTTTGTTTATTTGTTTGTCTTGTTTTGAGACAGGGTCTCGCTGTCACCCAGGCTGGAATGCAGTAGTGCAATCATGGCTCACTGCAGCCTTGACCTCCTGGGCCCAAGTGATCCTCCCACCTCAGCCTTCCAAGTAGCTGGGACTACAGGCATGCAACACCATGCCCAGCTAATTTTTAAAATTTTGTTGTAGAGACAGGATATTGCTATACTGCCCAGTCTTGTTTCCAACTCCTGGCCTCAAGTGATCCTCCCCCGTCAGCCTCCCAAGGCATAAGTTACTGGTGTGAGCCGCTGCGCTGGCCTATATTATATGTTTTTGCTGCTTCTGTTGGGGAAGAATTTGGTGTTTTATCTGAGAGAGATGACAGGAACCTTGGCCAGATGCCACCCCCAGAAACTCAGTGTCCTTCTGTTGGTAGCTGCTTGCCTCTTTGCTGCCCCTATCAGAGCAGAGTTGTTCATTTGCTTCTCTGAGCACATCTTGTGTGGAGTCTCGGGCCCCAGACAGCAGGGCTGCAAATGACACACTCAGCTGCAAGGCAGCAGTGATCTGTGGACGAGATTCAAATCCAGAGAAAAAAACGGAAGCCTCGAACTGCATCTGAAAACCAGCGAGAAAGAAGCAAATTCCTGTGAAATGGCACAGGCATCATTTCAGCGTTGACTCATTCTGCTCAAACCTGTCACCGCTCACACGGGAGTGGTCGTTGGAATAAGGGACTTCTCCTCAGGTGAATGACAAAGAAACACAGATTTGGATTTGCCCAGGTGTCTGGAGAGGAGGCTGCCCCTGGATGCCGTGCCCCACTGTGCAGAAAGGGGATGCCCGGGGCATTGTCACCGCAGCGAGTCTGCACCTACCATCCTCTGGCCCCTTTCTGCCACCTCTGCAGCATCTCCAATTAAATTTTAAAAAAGTAAAAGTGGGGACAAGAATCATCTGCCTGCCTGTGTTTGGCCCTCCTTCCAAGTTTTTGTGTTCTGTTTGAAATCAAACTTATGCTTTCTTCCAAAATGAATGACAGAGAAAAAAGAAAAAGCCACCCAGGCTTGAAAAGTGGTAGCTTCTTGCCGCCGACTTCCTGCCGGTGCCAAGTCAGAGGGAGCTCTGCGTGTCCTCAGTTCACCCTCGCCAGGCCACACCGCATGCAAATAAGAAGCTGTTTCAGTGTGTGCCCATCTGAGACGCTGACATAAAAAAGGAAGAAAGAAAGGAAAAAAACCACCGTCACCACCAACAAAAAAACCCAAAACTGATTAATTCTCGTAGATTGCAGCAGAGCAGGGGGCCTGGTGGTGACACATCCTGTTTTGCTGTTCAAGTTGTCATCCCCCAAGCCAATAAGCTCCCTCATGAACGGCACCAGTTATGAAGGGTGACAAAGAATTCAAAACACTCACAGGACAATTTTCCTAACCCTTGGTCTCTCGGAATGCTATTTTTTAGGCTAATTTGTTTTGATGAGAAAACTATGCCTGCTAGGCCTATTTTTAAGCCAGATTTGAAGTCAACGCAGTTGGTATTTGATCTTGCAAGAACGACAGAGGTGTCAGCAGCAGCTCTGCCATTTAAGAGCTGTAGCCTGGTGGGACACCGTCCTGCAACCAGGGCCCTAGCACAAGAAGTATCTCTGTTGTTATTTGCTTCTCTTCTTTGAGATCCATACTTGATTTGAAAAATCACCACTTGAGCGGCACCTGGTGATTACGTAACCATTCAACTCTGTGTTTTATCCTAGGGCTAGGTAAGAAATTGAAAATCCAGCCTGAAATAATTAGTTTAGCTGCAGACAGGGTGTATTAAACAGACTCAATTTAATAGAGCTAGAACCATAAGATGAATGTATTTATCTTCAATCAAAGATGACATGTTGGACAGATTCCTTCATTCATCACTTTTCTGTTATGTTTAGCCCTAAGGGAAGTCTTTTTTAGATACGTAAGATGCACCTTCAGGGTTAAAGCATCTAGTCCAGTCTGAATAAAACATCAAAAGCACCTACAATCCCAAGCTCCTTCAAGAACTTTGCAGGCAGTCTTCGGGTGAGTTTGGTAAGACTATTAATCGGAGTAATGAAATAAAGTATTATCACATCTATTTATTTTTCTCATTTTCTTTTAACTTCTCTTTTGTGTATGTTCTAAAATACACATAATTTTCAGTTCATAGGGCATTTTCCCCTTGTAAGTAAATATGAATATATTTCAGAGTGAGCTCAAAGTTTTACGTTAGATTTAGGTAGGCATTTTTTTTTTTTTTTTTTAAGATGGAGTTTCACTCTGTCACCCAGGCTGGAGTGCGGTGGCTCGATCTTGGCTCACTGCAACCTCCGCCTCCTGGGTTCAAGCGATTCTCCTGCCTCAGCCTCCTGAGTAGCTGGGATTACGGGCACCCACCACCACACCCGGCTTATTTTTGAATTTTTAGTAGAGCTAGGGTTTCACCATGTTGGCCAGGCTGGTCTAGAGCCCCTGACCTCAGGTGATCCACCCACCTCGGCTTCCCAAAGTGCTGGGATTACAGGCGTGAGCCGACAAGGTAGGCAAAAGTTAAAAACAAAAAAACAAAAAAACAAAAAAAAATTTGGAATAGTCTGTAACAGAGGAGGGCTTGAAGAGAAGTGAGGTGATTTGCAGAAGCATCAGCCAGGAGGCATTCCTCCAGGAGAAAAATTTTTACTTAAAGGAGAGAGCTTAGTGATGGAGAAGGAAAAGATCTCGACAGACATTCAAGATTAGAATCATAAGTTGGCCATTGATTGGGTGTGGCTCTGGGAAGTGGAGGTGCTGTGGGCAGGGGCTGGCTTGGGCAATGAGAAAATGGTGTTGCTTATGTGCCCACTCTGTGCTGGGACTCAGCTGTGAGTGCCTCCAAATTCACCACATTTATCAAACCTCAGTGCTCTGAGACAGCATATGATGGCCTAGCAGGATGTCCATTCTTTTCCTGGAACCACCCATCCAGTTATCTCCTTGAGTCGCCTGGGTGGTGAAAAGTGGTCTCATGCACAATGGATGCGGTGTGATCCCCTTGCTATGTCACGCATGGCGTCTGCCCTCTTCCCTGGCACCTGTGCCACTCCAGGTTATGCCTGTGCTGCTGCCCATTCTACGCCCACCTGGAAAGCCTGAAACCTTCTCGTGCCTTCTACTGCAGCTGGGGAGCTTCTTCCACGTCTCATAGCCAGCTTCTCCAGAGGGAACTCCCAGAGCTGACTGTACTTTCCTACCTCAGCCTCTTCTTCCTGGGATGGTGTCAAAATATGAACAGATACAGCTTCATGCTTTCAGGAAACCACCTTCTCTTCCATCTTCTCCTTTGGCCTGCTCAGACAGCCAGACTTCTTAAACATATTTTTCCTACAGGCTCATGCAAATTAAGGGATGTGGCTGAGCATCTCCTTCAGTGCCCTCAAACAGGTCATGAATGTTGCAAAGCCCAGAATCGTGCTAACCTGGTAGAAGGCTGGTTTAGCCAGAACACACAGAGAGGACCTTCTCATGATGGTGTGGCTGAATTCCACATGTCACTAACAGTATCTTGCCCTGACCCGACTCCAAGTACTGATCCCCAAGGAAGGCATAATAGAGAGCCCATCTTGGGGAGGGATGATGACTTCATGTGCAAACAAGTCAAATTCAGGATGTGTGTTGTGGGCAGAGATGGCAATGCCCAGTCATCTGTTAGGTATACAGGTCCGCTGTACAGGAGAAAAATCAGAACAGAATTTCTATTTGTAGTGTTTCTTTTAGAGACTAGGGAATTGAAACCACAGGTGAATAAGAATGTACAAGGAACCAGGCCTTCTTGAAGAAATAGCTGAACCAGATTGGTGTCAGGAGCTGTACAAGGGGATCCAAGAATGTCTTGTCATACAAGCCGGACAGCTATTAAAGACAACTGAGGTCATGGCAAAAGGGCCCAGGCTTCTACTGGCCAACAATGAGACAATTTGAGCATCCCAAAGAATAATGACTTTAGTGGACTGAAACACATCAACATGTATACATCCATGAATTCATAATACTCAAAACGGTAAAACCAAACTCATTTGTTACCTTTGGAGGAGTCTGTCACCTCTGATTATTCTGAAAACTGGTAAATAGAAGGGGAAAATTCAAGCATTTATTCTGCTTTTCTTGTATAAACTGTACCTCACAGTTACGGAAGAGCTGATAAGGGAAATGTCTTCTTTATTGAAAAATTCAGCTGATACATTTGGAAGGAATGAGAGAATTACAGTACCACCATTAGGTGACAATGAGGGTCTGGTTTTTTATTTTTCTTTTGCTGAGTGCTGGGAACATAGTGATAACAAAAAAAGCCATAGTGTTCTGGCCCTTCTGGAGTTTTGATTCTAGCACATTAACCAAATAATCCCAGAGCAAAAATAAAATGTCAACTATGGTAAGTGTAGAGAAGGGAAAATACACAGAACTTTTAACAGCTTAGATCCGAGGAAGCTGACCAGCCTGCAAAAAGGGACAGCTTCCCTAGGGAAGTGACTTTGCAGCTGTGATGATGGATGACTAAGAGTTAACCAAGGAATGGGAGGAGGGAGGAGGAGACAGAGAAGGCTTTCCAAGCAGAAGCCAGAGCATGTGCAAAGATCCTGTGGCAAGAAGGAGCCTGGTGCAGGGGAGGAACGAAGAGACATGCAAGCTGGCTGGAGTGCAGAGAGGGAGACAGGCAGGCAGGCAGGTGGTTGGATGGGGAGGCAAGGATCAGATCCTGAGTCCCTTGGAGAAGCAGGAAGGCATCATGATGACTAATGTCAGAGGCAGGGGAGGACAGGTAGGGATAGACAGGGAAGCAGTGCTGGGAAGATGCTAAAATGCTGCAGTTTGTGCTTGGAAAGATCATGGCCTGGTTCTTCCATTGTCATGATGGGTTGTTCTCTTTCTTATTGTTTTTCTAATTTGTCTTGACTAATGGAGAAGATCAGGAGCTCAAAAATAGAGGTTGTTTACAGCACTCAGTTTGGCTGCTATAGGTTAATGGGCTTAGACTCTTTAAGGGGATTAGGCTTTTGCTCAGAGACCAGTGGAGTATTCTAGCCAGGCTGTCTTGTGAAGGTGGTATGTTAAGAACTAGGTTTGTCTGATTTCTCAAATTAAAATGTGGTACATCAAATTAAATTTGAATTTCAGATAAATAACAACTAATTTCAGATGTGTCAGATAAAGAATGGATATGGCTCTAGTACAATATGGGATAATGAATATTTTCAGATAAATAGATGCCCTGTATTCTGTGTAGCAAGCATAACTAGAGAATCAATGTTAGTGCTCAAACTAAGAAGACTTTTGAGAAATTATCAGAGGTAAATACAAATATACATTTCCATCCATCCATCCATCCATCCATCCATCCATCCATCCATCCATCCATCCATCCCTGTTGAGCTCCAACTATGTGTCAGGCACTTCTGGGGGGTTGAGGGTATTGTGATCAGTAAGACAAACTCTCTGCCTTTATAGTGTTTACATTCTAGGAGAAAAATATTCATCTTAGAGAGATTATAAAAAACAAATCTTCCGAAATAGTATCTGTTACGTCCAAAATAGAGGAATGTATAAATAAATGTTAATATGATGGACTAACACGCAGCCATTACAAAAATCCTGTTTTGAAGGCTATTAAATGTCATGGTGAATTGATTCCAATATAAAACCAAATGAAATAAAAGCAGTTCACAAAACCACGCATGAAGTATGTAAATTTTGTAAACCAAAATTACAAGGTGACCTCAGTATCTAGAAAAATACACCAATGGTGGCTGTATCTGAGTGCTGCTAGAATTATTACTAACATTTTATTATTTACATTTGTATTTTCTTTTTCACAGTTTCTACAAAGAATTATGGATGATTTTTATATTTAGAAAACCTTTTTTTATTTGTGGACATCTATTACCTGTGGGCCCCACAGCAGCATGGAAAAGATTAAAGATTTGTGTCAGCTTTGACGCTGCCGTTAATTATCAGGACAACCTACAGCAAGTCATGCCATTTATCTGGGCCTCACTTTCTTTGGATTTAATTATGGACTAAGCTGTGATTTTCTGTGTAATTAAGAACCAAACTAAAGTTTAAAAAATATGCCTTTGTTTTATGGAAGAGTCCAGAGACACCATCATTATACTGTGTGTCTTTATAAAACCCATATACCTTATTCTTTTGTTTTATCTAGCTATTATATTGTCTATAACTTACTTTTAAATATTCTAGTATAGACAGGTGTGTGTGTGTGTGTGCGTGTGTGTGTGTGTATTCTTAATCCTCTATAAGGTTGTAGCTAAAATTTAAAATACTTTAACTGGACACACATCTTTTAGGAGTGGTTGGTAGTGTTTGAAGGACTACTATAAGGCCTTAATGATCTTTATCTCTAGAGAGTTCTAGAAGGTTCCCTAATTAGCCTAATAAATAAAAGAAGTTATTTTGCACTGGAAAATTAAGGAGTGTTGGAGATATGTGATTTGGCTAGTGCTATTTAAAGACACCCCTGTCCTTGCATAAATAGGGTTTAGGAATCTAGTAATCCTGGATTACAAACTTTGTTTGGAGTGATGCCTAAACCAGGTATGCCAATCTGTCTTGTGTCCACATACTAACAGAGGGTTCTAGCAACTTAATCCCATTAGCATGTTAGCTGAAGACTACTGCTAGAATGCTGTTATGTTTGTTTAGAGTTAATATTTCATGGAAATGTCTGAACCCTGGTACTGTATTAAACTCATAGAAATGGCTTTGTGCCTGTTTGCTAATAAATATTTCTCTGTGTGGCAGAATTTGGTTTGGGGTGTGCTGTCTAGCTGTCTAAATCACGTATCTCTTAGTATTGCAGTAATGGGTGAAGAGATATATAGTTCTTCTCACCTTTAATTGTTGGATGTGCAAAGAACCTGGTAATTTTGAATGACTGAATGGATTGAGATCAGTTGGCATATTAACGATAAACTTTATCTTACAGAAATCTTTTATTTACTTGAGGTTTTAAAATTATTATAAAACTAATAACGTATAAAGTATCTCCCAAACTAACACAGATTCCTACTACTTGGATGTATTATGTCTCTATTACCTGTCTTTTACTTTTAGAATAGAGCTGTGTTCCACAACCTCTCAGTTTAGGCTTATAGGTGCAATAATTCATTAAAAATGAATGCTGGGTTTGAAAAGTGTCACCCGAATGCTAAATATGCAACAGGCAGCCTAGTTCTGGCTCTCTGGAGAGAGTAAAGAGAGGTTTTGGCAAAAAGTCTTGGAAACAACCAGCTGATCTTACTGCCTTCATTTTGATGAGATAATTTGTGTTTATGCACATATTGAATTACGCTTAAATACATGGAAAATTTTAAATGCCAAAGGAAGGGGAAAAATGCTACATAGCACACATTTTAAGTGTTTTTTTTTTTTTTTTTCCTGCTAAACTCAAACCACTTGAAAGCTAGGAAGAGTCACTGCTGGAAGATCCAATGCTGGAATTGACAGTAGATGCTCACAGTCATCACGGGAGCTGAGCTCTATAACTGTACCCAGTCCAGGGCCTGTACATACACTGGTTCCTACAAGGGTGGTGATGCGAAGTGAATGCTTGGGAACTGGGACTGGGATGTAAATTTCCCGTTTGCCAGGGGCCAGCTCTGGGACCTCAGGTGAATGTGACACTTCTCTGGGTAGCCAAGTCATCACCTACAGAATGCAGGACATGTCAAACAACTTCATTTGATGCACAATAAGCAAAAATCAGCAAACTCTCAGGGGACTTTGTAAAGACACAGGCAGTTTGAGGAGGTAATGTGGCAGAGTGGGAAGAGTGAGAATTTGGTAATAACCAAATGAACAAAGAAACAAAATAAAGAAACAACAGATAATGTTTTCTGAACATTTACTATGTATGATGGAATATAATATCTTCAACAGATCTTTTGATTGAGTGTTTTTATAGGCAAGCTGATTCCTCAGTCTGAACCTTATTTGCCATTAAGACTGCCCCATGCAGTGCAGTTGGGAAGGCAGGAGATTAGATGCAGGTGAAATCCTAGTCCTAAAGGAAGGGGAGGTAAAAGAGAAAAGCTCGACTTTTTCTGTTCCTGGATACATTGTCGTATCAGGAGTAGGACAGGATGGAGGCAGAGTGAGCAGGTAATAGAGTGTGAGTGTGACCTTGGGCAAGTCATTTACTTTCTAAGCCTTGTAACTCAGCAAAACTGAACTAAGAAAGAATGAATTACTTTGCAGGTTGCTGTGAGCATTGTAAGTATACAGTCAATTCACTCATTTATTTGAGATGATATTCTGAGCAGAGTAGACTTACACAGGTATGAGACACGGTTTCTATCTTTGAGGAGTTTATAGTGGAAAATGACATCTGTAAATAAGCAAACACAATAAAGTATGACAAGTCCTCCCCTAGTCAGCCTAGAAAAGAGTTTTAAGAGCAGGTGAAGCACACGCTGATTCTTTAAGGATATGTGTCAGGTGGACGAAAGGGCAAGGAAAACCCAGGCGTGAAGGTATGTATGCATACGTATTACAGAACTGCTCAGCGGTATTAGTTTATTGTTACTATTGTTGGTGCTACTGTTGTCCTTGCCTTTGAGGGCTTATAACATCATTGGGAAAATGTGATGATTAAACATGGAAAATGCCACAGAAACAACCATAGCAACCACTCCAAGCTGTGCACTTGAGGGCTAGGGGCCTGTTAGGAAATAATAATAAAGAAACAACAGATAATGTTTTCTGAACATTTACTATATATGGTGGAATATAATATCTTCAACAGATCTTTTGATTGAGTGTTTTTATAGGCAAGCTGATTCCTCAGTCTGAACCTTATTTGCCATTAAGACTGCCCCATGCAGTGCAGTTGGGAAGGCAGGAGATTAGATGCAGGTGAAATCCTAGTCCTAAAGGAAGGGGAGGTAAAAGAGAAAAGCTCGACTTTTTCTGTTCCTGGATACATTGTAGTATCAGGAGTAGGACAGGATGGAGGCAGAGTGAGCAGGTAATAGATATTTAATTCATTTATATTTAATGTACTAATATTTACTCCTACCATCTAAGTTTATGCTCTTTAATTGTCCTGAAATTTCTTTGTCCTTTTTGCTATTTTTAAGGGGAGGGATTAATTAGTTTTTTTTCATTCTACTTTTTTCCCCTCCAGTAGTTAGAAAGTCATATATTTCTATTCACTTACTGCTTACACTAGAAATTACAGTACTCATACTGACTATATCAAATTCTAACTGTTAATCAATATCTTTGTCCTCTGGTGTACCAGATTATATTTCCTTTTGTAATTCTTAGGATTTGTCAGACATACTGAATCTGTAGATTGATGTCTATCATCATGACAAAAAATTCAGAGACAGTCTTTTTAAATGCCTCTGTGATATTTTCTCTTTTTCTCCTGTTGACTCTGTTCAATTCTCTTTTCTTTTACAACTATGATTATGCTTTACTTTCTTTATTTGACATGACACTTGTTCTCTTTTTCACATTTTCATCCTCTAACTCTCTGGATTATCTTCTGCATAATTTCTTCAGAGAAACTTTCCAATTCATTAATTGTCTTTTCAGCTGTGTCCAATTTGCTATTAAACTTGTTTATTCACTTTGCTTTAAATATTTTAGTTTTTGTTTCTAGAAATTTCTTCCCCCATAGCTTCATGTCGGTTTTGTGTCCTGCAACTTTATTGAATTCATTTATTAATTGGTTCTAATAGTTTTTTGGTGGCGTCTTTAGGGTTTTCTATACATAAGATCATGCTGATCTGAAAATAGGTACAATTTAACTTCTTTTCCATTTTGGATGACTTTTATTTCTTTTTGTTTGTTTTGTTTTGTTTTATTATTATTATACTTTAAGTTTTAGGGTACATGTGCACAATGTGCAGGTTAGTTACATATGTACACATGTGCCATGCTGGTGTGCTGCACCCATTAACTCATCTTTTAGCATTAGGTATATCTCCTAATGCTATCCCTCCCCCCACCCCACAACAGTCCCCAGAGTGTGATGTTCCCCTTCCTGTGTCCATGTGTTCTCATTGTTCAATTCCCACCTATTAGTGAGAATATGCGGTGTTTGCTTTTTTTGTTCTTGTGATAGTTTACTGAGAATGATGATTTCCTATTTCATCCATGTCCCTACAAAGGATATGAACTCATCATTTTTTATGGCTGCATAGTATTCCATGGTGTATATGTGCCACATTTTCTTAATCCAATCTATCATTTTTGGACATTTGGGTTGGTTCCAAGTCTTTGCTATTGCGAATAGTGCCACAATAAACATACGTGTGCATGTGTCTTTATAGCAGCATGGTTTATAGTCCTTTGGGTATATACCCAGTAATGGGATGGCTGGTTCAAATGGTATTTCTAGTTCTAGATCCCTGAGGAATCGCCACACTGACTTCCACAATGGTTGAAATAGTTTACAGTCCCACCAACAGTGTAAAAGTGTTCCCATTTCTCTATCCTCTCCAGCACCTGTTGTTTCCTGACTTTTTAATGATTGCCATTCTAACTGGTGTGAGATGGTATCTCATTGTGGTTTTGATTTGCATTTCTCTGATGGCCAGTGATGGTGAGCATTTTTTCATGTGTTTTTTTGGCTGCATAAATGTCTTCTTTTGAGAAGTGTCTGTTCATGTCCTTCGCCCACTTGTTGATGGGGTTGTTTGTTTTTTTCTTGTAAATTTGTTTGAGTTCATTGTAGATTCTGGATATTAGCCCTTTGTCAGATGAGTAGGTTGCCAAAATTTTCTCCCATTTTGTAGGTTGCCTGTTCACTCTGATGGTAGTTTCTTTTGCTGTGCAGAAGCTCTTTAGTTGAATTAGATCCCATTTGCCAACATACTTGCTTTGGAAGTCCTAGCCAGAGCAAGTATGCAAGGGAAAGAAAGAAAAGTCATCTGCCAAAATTGACAGATGACTTTTTCTTTCCCTTGCATACTTGCTCTCGCTAGGACTTCCAATACTATGTTGAACAGAACAGGGCTTGTTCTTGACTTGTTCCAAATCTTAGAGGAAAAGCTTTCAACTTTCCCCCATTAGGGATGATGTTAGCTGTGGGTTTTTCATATATGAACTGTATTGTGTACATTCCTTCTATAACTAATTTGTTGAACATTTTTTATCATTAAAGAATGTTGAATTTTGTCAATTTTTTATGCGTCTATTGAAATGATGAATTTCATTGATTCATTAGCTTATGTTGAACCATCCTTACACACATGGAATGAATCTCACTTGATCACAGTGAATGATTTTAATTTGCTGTTGAATTTGATTTTGTTGAGAATTTTTGTATGTATGTTCAGATACATTGGCTTGTAGTTTTTAATTTTTTTGTAGTGTCTTTGGCTCTGGTACTGGGATAATGTTGCTATTGTAAAATGAGTTTGGAAGTATTCCCTCCTCTTCAATTTTTGGAAGAGTTTGAAAAGAATTAATATTCTTTGAAGATTTGGTAGTATTCAGCAGTGAAGCCAGTAATTCCTGTGTTTTTTTTCCTAAGTTATCCAATTTGTTAGTGTATAATTGTTCATAATAGTCTCTTGCGATCTTTTGTATTTGTGTTGTATCTTTTGTAATGTCTTCCTTTTTTTCTGATTTTGTTTTTTTCTCTTTTTTTCTTAGTCTAACTAAAGGTTTGTTTATTTGTGTTTATCTTTTGAAAAAGCCAGCCGATAGTTTCACTGATCTTATTCCTGCTCTGATATTTATGGTTTCTGTTTTTGTTCTTTTAGTTCATTGAGGTGAGTTATTTGAGATCATTATTCTGTTTTGACATAGACATTTATTGCTATAAACTTCCCTCTTAGGATTGCTTTTGTTGTATTACATAAGTTTTGGTATATTGTATTTCAATTTTCATTTTTCTCAAAAAGTAAAAAAAATTAAAAATTTTTTTTCATTGATCCATTTGTTCTTCAGGAGCATGTTGTTTAATTTCCATGTATTTGTGAATTTTCCAAAGCTTCTCCGGTTATTGATTTCTAGTTTTGTACCATTGTTGTCATAAAGATACTTGATATGATTTCAATCTTCTTAAATTTGTTAAGACTTGTTTTATGGCCTAACATATAATCTATCCTGGAGAATGTTCCATGTGTAGTTGAGAAGAATGTGTATTATGTAGCTGTTGAATGGAATGTTTTCTATATGTCTGTTAGGTCCATTTGATCTAGACTGTACTTTAAATTCAATGTTTCTTCATTAATTTTCTTTCTTTCCATTGCTGTCAGTGGGGTGTTGTCCTCTACTATTATTGTATTGAAATTTATCTCCCTTAAGATCTGTTAATACTTGCTTTATATATTTAGGTGCTCCAACATTGGGATTGACTGTGTGTGTGTGTGTGTGTGTGTGTGTATGTATGTATGTATGTATGTATATATATATATATATATATATATATATATATATATATATATAAAGTTGTTATATCCTGTGGCTGAATTGACTCTTTTATCATTACATAATGACCTTCTTGATTTCTTTGTACAATTTTTGACTTAAATTCTATTTTATCTGATATAGCTATTCCTTCTCTCTTTTGGGTTTAATTTGCATGGAATATCTTTCTCCATGAAATCACTTTGCATATGTGTGTCCTCACAGGTGAAGTGAGTCTCTTGTAGACAGCACATAATTGGTTTGTTTTAAAAAAATTATTCAGCCACTCTGTGGTTTTTATTGGAGAATTTAATCAATTTATATTCAAGGTAAGTATTGATAGGTAAGAACTTACTACTTTCATTTTGTTAATTGTTTTCTAGTTGTTTTGTAAATCCTTTGTTCTTTTTTTTGCTATATTCCTTTGTATTTTTTTTCTAGTAGTATGTTTTGATTTCTTGCTTTTTCGTGGTTACCATGAAACTTACAAAAAACATCTTGAAGTATAAAAGGTTATTTTAAGCAGATAACTTAACTTTGATTGCAAAAAAATAGAAAATAAAACTGTACAGTTTTAGTCCAACACTTGCCCAACATTTTGAATTTTGATGTAATTAATTCAAATTAATTTAAATTTAATTTGAATTTTTGGTGGCATAATCTTTATATGGCATGTGTCTCAAATTATTGTAGCTATTATACAATATAGTATACAATATAAATAAGTAGTTAATAGTTTTGCCTCTAAACCTTCATACTAATGATATAAATGTTTTACACACTATCATTATAGTATTAGAGTATTCAGAATTTGACTGTGTACTTAGTTTTACCAGTGATTTTTATTGTTTTTTATTACTCATTAGCATCATTTTCTTTCAGCTTGAAGAACTCCCTTTAACATTTCTTGTATGACAGGTCTAGTGGGGATGAACTTTTAACCTTTTGTTTGTCTGGAAAAATCTTTATCTCAATCTACTTCATTTCTGAAGGACAGCTTTGCTGGGTACAGTGTTCTTGGTCAACAGGTGTTTTGTTTGTTTGTTTTTCCCCCCTTCAGCACTTTGAATATATCACTATATCATTCTTGTCTTTCTTGGCCTGTAAGCCTTCTGCTGAGATATCTGTTGATAGCTGTATCGGAACTTCCTTATACGTTATTTGCTTCTTTCACCTTGATGTTTTTAGAATCCTCTCTTTGCTTTGGTTTTCAACAGTTTGATTATGTCTTGGGGTAGTCTTCTTTGGATTAAATCTGATTGGAGATCTTTGACTTTTCTATATTTGCATATTTACATCTTTCTGCAGGTTTGGAAAGTGTCCTGTGATTATTTTTTAAAATGAGCTTTCTACCTCTTTATCTTTTTCTTCTCTTAAATTCTTATGACTTGGATTTCGGTCTTCTGATGTTGTCCCATAAGTACCAGAAGCTTTTCTTATTTTTCATTCTTTTTTCTCCTCTGACAATATTTTCAAATAACTTGTCTTTGGGGTCACAGATCCTTTTCTTCTGCTTGATAAATTCTATTGTTGATACTGTATTGCATTTTACATTTCACTTATTGTATTTTTTCAGCTCCAGGATTTCTGTTTCTTTAAAAAATTACTTCACTGTCTCTGTAGACTTCTTGTTCTGATAACTTATTATTTTCCTTATTTTATTGAATTGTTTATCTGTATTTTCTGGAAGTTCACTGAGCTTCCTTAAAAGAGTTATTTTCAATTCTTTCTCAAGCAGTTCATACATTTCCATTTCTTTAGGGCCAGTCACCTGCACTTTATTTTGTCTCTTTGGTGATGTCATGTTTTCCTGATTGTGCTTGATCCCAGTGATTGTGCATTGATGTCTGCAAATTTGAAGTAGGTACTCATTTCATTCTTTGCCCAGGCACTTCGTCTGGGAAAGCCTTTCAACAATCAGTTCATCCAAAGATTCTGGACAGGCTATCTGGCATGGTTCTAAAGCTTGGGGATACTGGGGCTGGTGCATCACTGGAGCAGGCCAGAAACCTGGGGTTACTAAGGCTTGCCTGCCACTGAGGGCAGTCTGGATCACAGGGCCACTGAAGTTGGCTTGCCCTGTGTCCTGCCTGGTGCCTGAGTGGGTATAAAGGCTCAGTCTGCAGGTACCAGTCTGGGGTCTGGGGCTATGTGGGCCTGTCCAATAATGAGTTTTATTGTGGCAGGACCGGTGTTGAGACCAAGGCAAAGTCCTGTACTCACTTTTCTCTCTTTTCACCAAATGAATGACATCTCTCTCCATACTGTGCTGCCTGGGTTTGGGGAAGGAATGATGTGGGAAATGTAAAACTGTCCTTCCTGCCCCCTTTAGGGTATTTTTTCTTATTATTGTGCTATGCCAGGTGTTGCAATCTCTCACCTGGTTTCCTCAGCTCTTGTAAAATTATTTTTGTGTGTGAATAGTTGTTCAAATTGATGTTTCTGCAGAGAGATAATCACTGGAGAGTTTTCTTCCACCATCTTGCTCTGTCCCTGTCTTCTTAACAGATATATTTCTAATGGAAACTTTCAGGAAATACATAACAAGGAACACAACGTTGATATTCCAGAGGAAATCAGGCTTAATTGCCTTCAGGGTAAACAGATCAATATCTTACTCTAGGACTAGAGTCTGGGAGTACAAACCAGAGGGACATTAGTATTTTTACAATATCTACACTTCCTTGGATTTTTCGCACAGAGTATTAACTTTAGGAAGTTTACACTCAAGAGAAAATAGGCTGACTCTAAGAAAATCCAGGCTAGAGCGTTACTTGAATAAGGCTTTATCTCCATTAATGGGCTAAATAAGTTCAAGTGTGCACATCCATCCCAGAACTTCAGAGACTGCCTGTCTCAGACTGTAATGAAAGGAATAAGAGAGAATGGAAGAACTTTATATAAGACATAGAGGCCATTTTTGGAAATAAGCATTTGGATGGCAAAGAATTGAATCAGACAAATTAGAAATGAAGGAAGAGGACATAGAGTACCAGGTTAATATTTTTATAAGCTTAAGATGATAACATTTCAGGTCCTCATAGTAAAACATTATACCTCTTCCCTCCCTATGATACTTTCAACTTTTTACTTGTGTTATAATTTTTTTTATCAATTTCTCTCTGTCAGATTCTAAGCACCTCACAGGTAAGATAAACATAATTACAGTGTTAACTTAAATTCAAGTGGACATTCTTGCTACCAATTATTAACACACACAAAATATATAGCCAACAGGTATACTCGTTAATGTTCATGGTCTGTTAACTACTACTGAGGACTCTGAGTGATTTAAAAAAAAGGGCTTAAGGCCCAAACTCTCATGAAAATGTCTGAAATGATTCCTGTTGAAAAGGAATTGAAGTGGATAGGGTTATTTTCAGTGGCAACTGACCAATGAAATTCAATTTATTTCAATTTAACAATCCTATTATGTTTCAAAAAAGACAGTGTAAAAATATACTCTCCAGCTGTATTGGAAGAGAATTTTAAAGGACTGCTTTTGGCACACAGTTGGTATTCTTAAGAAATCATGCCAGAGGAACAACAACAGAGGTAGCACCTCAACTCTTGTTGGGCTATGCAGCTGATTCCAGGAGATTTCAGACCCTTGGCAGGTGTTCTGCTTATGGTTTCAGGTCACTCTGAACTCTAGAGTCTTAAACCTTTTCACTTCAAACACTGTTCTCACCTTTTGTTCAAAGTGATAATATCAGGGGAATATGTAGCAGCCAGTTAAAATTAATTTATCCATGTTAAAAGGATATTTGCTTGGAAGAAAGCTACAGACTAATTTCCTGCCAGTTCAATTTTATCCATTGCTGAAACCAGAAATCTCCACACTATCCTCAAAAACATCCTTCTTTTTATTCTTGACTGTCAATTTTACTTGCAAAATGCCTATCATGTCTGTGCCCACAGATCCATTTTTTGCTGCCACTATGTATTTCAAACCTCTGTCATCTCTTACATGGGCTCTTGCAGAAAACATCTGAAGTTAGTTATCCCTTCCTTTAATGCATGTGCTGCGCTTAACCATAGCTTGTGTCAGATCACAGCCCCAAGGAATACCTTCAATGGTTGCCCAGAGGATCAAGCGTTAAGTATCTTAGCATGATTTTCAAGGCATTGAGCAATCTGAGACCAATGTACTTTGCTGACTTTTCCTCCTGGGAGGCCCTGATGACCTTATGTCCTGGTCACACTTGATATTGCACCAATTCCTTCCTATGTCATGTACATTCATGCTTCTGTGACTTTGTTCAACCTGTTTCCTCCACCCAGATTTTTGTTCTCATTCTCCTTGCCTGGTGGAAGTCCATTCATCCTTTAAGACCCAGCCAGGTGGAATGGAACTTGCACAAGCTCCCTTATCTAACATGGTAGACACCAGCAATCAGCTGATTAATCAAAAGAGTCAGTCAGTCAAAGAAGGAAATAAAAAAATAAATAAAACCAACAGAGTAAAACGTTCTCACTTAAAACATAAGAACATTCATTTATTGACCCTTTGGTGGAAGACTTTTTGAGTGTGGTTTCTCTAATAGAAGTTCTTCAGACTTTCTTCATAGAGTACTGTCAGAATATTTATTTCCTTTTCCAGTTTGGGTTCCTTATAAAGGAGTGAGAATTTAAAGGTGCTTGAAAAGCAATCCAAATGCAGAGGTTTAGGCTTTTATGATTTCATCCCCCATCTTTTACAATGGTCTTATTTACCTCTAGTTAAACAGCATTAAAAAGTCAATTTTGCACACCAATGGTAACGTACTTAATACCCTGAACTGCATACTTAAACATGGTTAAAATGGTGTCTTAGTCAGCTCTGACTGCCATAACAAAATAGCACAGACTGGGTGGCCTAAACAACAGACATTTATTTTCTCACAGTTCTGGAGGCTAGAAGTGACACATCGAGGTGCTGGTCAAGTCAATTTCAGGTGAGGCCTCTCTTTTTGGCTTGAAGGTAGTGCATTTTCTCTGTTCTCACATGGCAGGGTGGAGTCGGGGAGCACTCTCAGATGTCACTTCTCATAAGGACACTAATCCTATTGGATCAGGGCCCCACCCTTAGGGCCTCATTGAACCTTAATTACTTCCTTAGAGGTTGCAGCTTCAAATACAGCCACTCTGGGGTTAGGCTTCTACATAGGGATTTTGGAAAGACACAAACATTCAGTCCATAACAGATGGTAAATTTTATGTTATATGTATTTTACCATCATTCAAAAAAAAAAAGAAGCTGCCAATTGTTTTCTGAATATATACATATATGTGTGTGTGTGTATATATATATATACACACACATACACACACACATATATATATATACACACATATATATATATGTATAACACTTTGCCTAACTGGGTCGTTTCAAAGCACTCAACTTAGTTTTTTTGGAAACAACTCTCTTTTGTGTTCATATTTCATTCATCGTGGAATGTTTTGCTAAAAGAGCCTGCATAGGTTTGAGAACCACTGTCATTGACTCTAGTAGAGACAGCAGCCCAGTGTGTGCCTCTGAAGATAAGCTTCCTGGCAGTGAACTGCCAGTATGCTCCAGGCACGACTGAGTCTGTTTTACAGAGGCCATGGAGAGCTGTCATTAATCTGTGAGTCTGTGAAGTGGAGGCCACTTGACAGTTTCTGCTGAGATGCTTCCGATGCCCTCAGTGTGTGCATGATCCACAAATAGCTTGCAGTCAGTGTTTTCCTGATGAGGGATGACTGCATTGCATCTTGTGTGTGTGCTTGACATCCTTAAGATGCTGTGAAGTTTTGGAGGAAAGTCTAATTTTAAAAGTTGGGTTAGGTTTTGGCTATAATTATGTTATACAACAAATAACTGAAATCTCAGAGGCTTTTAACAGTAGTCATTTATTTCACACTCATTGGTCAGCTGGTCATTATTTGGCTGACCGTGGAACCAGAACAAAGCCAAAGCGGTGTTCTCCAGGGGTGCTTTTTTAGGCCACAGTGGGAGCCCAGCCAATGCCTTCCTTCAGTGATTGGTAAAAATTTCTCCCCGAGATCCCATGCTGTTCTATCCTGAACAGCTTTGGATGTTTATTTTTCTGATTCTATCTCTATTATCTCTCTTCTGTTGACACATTCCTAACATGAAGACATTGCAGCCCTGGCAGGGGAGAACAAATATTTCCCATTCCACCCTCCTAGGTTCAATGACTTGGGCCCAAGAATCAAACTGATAAAAGGCAGATTAACAAGAGGAAAAAAAAACAATTTAAATTATGTAGGCATGTACAAAAGCTTACAAGGAAACACATGGCTCAAGGAGGCGGCCAGTTGATTGAGGCTTATGTATCATCTTAGACTAAACACAGTAAAAAGGGGTCTTGGGCTTCTGAGTGGGGAGGCAAGTTATGAGAAGGGGAGGGGAGGAGACGTAGGGTAAATAAGTTTGCCTTGTTATGCAGGTAAGTCAGGTGATGAGAGTTGTTGTCTTGGAGAGTAGCTCTCTTCGTGGTATGGGGACGTCTTTACAAGTGGAGATTTCCATTATAAAAGTAAATTTCCTTTACAGGAGGGGAAATTTATATACTCCAGTTTTAGGGAGTAAGGGAAGAGGTAAAGGCCTTGTCCTGCAATCAATGTGGTTGTTTTAGCTCAAAACAATCTATATGCCTGTTAAAGCAAACTAAATATGGCCGGAGAAGGACTCCATACTTCTATATTTGAGTCCTCATGGATGAACTGCAACCTAGCTTAACAGTCAGAAAAAATGGAAAACCTAGCTTAATAGTATGCACCTGTAACAATGGCTGAGTGTTGGCCAATCCTAGTGGCCATGCTTCAACCACTCATAGACTGCTGAATGTTCAAACTGTGTTCAAATAAGGCAAACGCCGAGCTATAACCAATCTCACTGTTTCTGTACCTCGCTTCTGATTCCTGTACATCGCTTTACTTCTTTTGTCTATAAATTTGTTTTGACCATGAGGCACCCCTGGAGTCTCTGTGAATCTGCTGTGATTCTGGGGGCTGCCCAATTCGCGAATCATTCATTCCTCAATTGAACTCCTTTAAATTTAATTCTGCTGAGGTTTTTCTTTTATCATGTCAATGAGGCCTAATTTCCCATGGCATTTCTGGTGCCCTTCTCCCTCTGCATAAGGTGCAATGTGGAGTGCACAAGGCTGATTTAATTCCTTCTTTCTTGAGTGCTATCTCTGCCAATGCATTATGTGCTTCTTATATGTATATCACAGAGTGAGGGGTTACTTATCAGTCTCTGCAGCGATGCACCGAAAAAGACCCATCTCATAGAAAAATGGAAGTTAAATAAGAGAGAGAAATAATTCTTTGATACCCCCCTACAACTTGTCTAAAATGAACACCTCCCTTTTCATACATGGGCTAAATGCAAATGCCTTAGGAGGGGTTACACACTGATTTACATTCACCCTAAAACATAAATGATGTTTCAGATTTTAGTTTTGATCAGTGTGTTAGTGCATTCTCACATTGCTATAAAGAAATACCTGGGACCGGGTAATTTATAAAAAAAGGAATTTAATTGGCTTACGGTTCTGCAAGCTATGCTTCCTGTACAGCCTGCACCAGCGCCAGCATCTACTTGGCTTCTGGGGAGGCCTCAGGAAGCTACAATCATGGCAGAAGGCAAAGGGAAGCAGGCACACCACATGGAGAAAGCACGTGGAAGAGAGAGGGGGAAGGCGCCACACACTTTTAACAACCACATCTTTCGAGAACTCACTGTCATGAGAACAGCACCAAGAGGATGGTGCTAGACCATTCGTGAGAAATCTACCCCCATGATCCAATCACCTCCCACCAGGCCCCACCTTCACCACTGGGGATTACATTTTGACATGAGATTTGGTGGGGGACAACATCTAAACTCTCTCAATCAGTGATTACAAATGGGAGAATGAGGTGTTAGGACACTCAAAGATGAAAAGAAGTAACTTGTTAGAAGTGGCACACTGGCCACTGAGCTCTTACTATAGGCAGGGATGGTATAGGGGTCCTGTAAGAGAAGGTGGGCAATAAGGGAGAAGAGAAGGGTGCAGGATTGAGCAGCTGTGGCTCCTAAATTGTCATCATCATTTTCATAGCTATGGTAATCACCAACCCTGTTGAATAAAAGCCATCTTGTCCAAGAGGTATATAGTCCAAGCAATTCAAAGACCCTGAGACAGTCCTGCCATTGAAACCCAGATTTTTTTCAGGTGCTCCTGAAAATACTCATTGCTCTAGACCTTTGCTGTTTTCAAGTCTTGGGTACATAGCAATCCCTGTATCCCCAGTAGGTATAGCTGGTTTCTTTATATTTTGCCATTGTATTCTGTATTGTGTAGTATATATGACCAGACATTAGTACTAGAAGAAAGAAGCTTTGGAGATGTTGAACGCTTCCCTTTACAGTTGAAAAAGGTCAAGCTGGGGGATTAAGTGATTTGTTTCAAATACCCCAACCAGTTAATGGCCGTGGAAGGATGAGAATTATTGCCTGTCTTACTAACACCTCCTTCTAAGGAAAACTGGCTTATCTGCAGGTAGCTATCTTGGGAAACTCGTGACCCCAATTCCCTGTGACAGTCCATTGAACCAGCATGGTCATCTGACCCATGTACAGTCGATCTTTTGATTTGTTCACAACCTTTGACACATGACCTTGGCCAATCAGATTTCCCCCCTTAGAAATGTGAACCAAGAAACGGAAGCTGAAATTGCTAATGTCGTAATATGGAGGGCATTTGCATGGCTATGGTGAAGCATGCAGTTGAGACTGGGAGGGAGCCTGAACTGTAAAGGAGAGAGTAAAGGGAACAGGGCACATTCGGCAAGCAAAAGTCCTAGAAGGAGCAACCACATGGCCCATGTGAGAGAGGAATTAGCCTGGGTTTCTGTCAGAGGCGTTCGAACCAGAGCGACTTCATCTTGAGTGAGAGCTAGGAAAATGGGGCTGAGACTTGCTGGGTTGCGCTCCCAGAAAGTTAGGTATTCCTGGCCTCTAGATGTTTATGGTTAAGGGAACAGATGGATAACATTTACTAAACAGACCTAGGCTTAGGAGTGTTCTTGTATCCTGATATCTTGAGAACAGAAGCATTCCTAATTTTGCCTTAAAGAAAATAATAGCGATTCTTGCAAAATACAATAATTAAGAAAATTAATGCTTTATCACAAATCCTTGCAGCAGAACACATCTCCCTGTAATCTATTTTTTATCCTATATATAAACAAATGTTGTACCTAGGGTGAACACATTCTTCCTCTTGCTTTCAGGAATACCGTACTCTGCCTGTGGACGAGCTATTCTTTCACCACTTTACTTTCTTGATAAACTTGCTTTCACTTTACAGGCTCGTCCTGAATTCTTTCTTGTGCGAGATCAAGAATCCTCTCTTGGGGTCTGGATCAGGACCCTTTTTCCTGTAACACTTCCATGGTTCCTGGGGTAGCTCTGGTTCCAGCTCCAGTTCCAGCAAAAGCCCATTTGCACCCAGCCACCCCGCTTCTTAAATGAAAGATAATTTTGGCATCTATTTCTTGATACCAGCAGATGCCGATTGGGACATGACAGAGCCAGGACTAGCTGCTAGGTTTCCTGGCTCCCAGCTTATGTTTTTTTCCACTATACTTTACTATGTCCTGCATGCCTCCTAGAGTTTTTTAACCTGTTGACGGCCAGGAATAGTTTATTTAACTTGGTATGCCTTTAACTACCTGGACTTTACTCCATAAAAATTGATTGACTTGAATTTAATTATCGGTAATTCCAAAATTATGAGTGGTGTCCTTTCTGAATTTATTTTTCTAGAATATAAGCTTTTTTCCTTGCTAAAAGTACCAACACTTTACAATATTTTCAGGTGAACAATTTATGCTCTAGAAGAAATTGTTGTCTGTAGGGCAGGTGCCCCTGGCCAAAAGAAGAGCACTCTTTTCTGGCTGTGCTCAGCCATCCTGGGCTGTGAATGATGGGAAAGTTGCTCTGTTCTGAATCGCAAATTCACGGCTTTCCTTGATGCAGTTCTCAACTCACAGGCTTCTTCATCTTGCAAATTAACTACAACTATCCACCTGTGAGAGTTTCAGGGAAAGTTCATGAAAGTTGTGATGCTTACAATTTTATAAATCAGCAAATCATTTTCCTTTTTTTTTTTTTTTTTTTTTTTTTTTTTTTATTATACTCTAAGTTTTAGGGTACATGTGCACATTGTGCAGGTTAGTTACATATGTATACATGTGCCATGCTGGTGCGCTGCACCCACTAATGTGTCATCTAGCATTAGGTATATCTCCCAGTGCTATCCCTCCCCCCTCCCCCGACCCCACCACAGTCCCCAGAGTGTGATATTCCCCTTCCTGTGTCCATGTGATCTCATTGTTCAATTCCCACCTATGAGTGAGAATATGCGGTGTTTGGTTTTTTGTTCTTGCGATAGTTTACTGAGAATGATGGTTTCCAATTTCATCCATGTCCCTACAAAGGATATGAACTCATCATTTTTTATGGCTGCATAGTATTCCATGGTGTATATGTGCCACATTTTCTTAATCCAGTCTATCATTGTTGGACATTTGGGTTGGTTCCAAGTCTCTGCTATTGTGAATAGTGCCGCAATAAACATACGTGTGCATGTGTCTTTATAGCAGCATGATTTATACTCATTTGGGTATATACCCAGTAATGGGATGGCTGGGTCAAATGGTATTTCTAGTTCTAGATCCCTGAGGAATCGCCACACTGACTTCCACAATGGTTGAACTAGTTTACAGTCCCACCAACAGTGTAAAAGTGTTCCTATTTCTCCGCATCCTCTCCAGCACCTGTTGTTTCCTGACTTTTTAATGATTGCCATTCTAACTGGTGTGAGATGATATCTCATAGTGGTTTTGATTTGCATTTCTCTGATGGCCAGTGATGATGAGCATTTCTTCATGTGTTTTTTGGCTGCATAAATGTCTTCTTTTGAGAAGTGTCTGTTCATGTCCTTCGCCCACTTTTTGATGGGGTTGTTTGTTTTTTTCTTGTAAATTTGTTTGAGTTCATTGTAGATTCTGGATATTAGCCCTTTGTCAGATGAGTAGGTTGCGAAAATTTTCTCCCATGTTGTAGGTTGCCTGTTCACTCTGATGGTAGTTTCTTTTGCTGTGCAGAAGCTCTTTAGTTTAATTAGATCCCATTTGTCAATTTTGTCTTTTGTTGCCATTGCTTTTGGTGTTTTGGACATGAAGTCCTTGCCCACGCCTATGTCCTGAATGGTAATGCCTAGGTTTTCTTCTAGGGTTTTTATGGTTTTAGGTTTAACGTTTAAATCTTTAATCCATCTTGAATTGATTTTTGTATAAGGTGTAAGGAAGGGATCCAGTTTCAGCTTTCTACATATGGCTAGCCAGTTTTCCCAGCACCATTTATTAAATAGGGAATCCTTTCCCCATTGCTTGTTTTTCTCAGGTTTGTCAAAGATCAGATAGTTGTAGATATGTGGCATTATTTCTGAGGGCTCTGTTCTGTTCCATTGATCTATATCTCTGTTTTGGTACCAGTACCATGCTGTTTTGGTTACTGTAGCCTTGTAGTATAGTTTGAAGTCAGGTAGTGTGATGCCTCCAGCTTTGTTCTTTTGGCTTAGGATTGACTTGGCAATGCGGGCTCTTTTTTGGTTCCATATGAACTTTAAAGTAGTTTTTTCCAATTCTGTGAAGAAAGTCATTGGTAGCTTGATGGGGATGGCATTGAATCTGTAAATTACCTTGGGCAGTATGGCCATTTTCATGATATTGATTCTTCCTACCCATGAGCATGGAATGTTCTTCCATTTGTTTGTGTCCTCTTTTATTTCCTTGAGCAGTGGTTTGTAGTTCTCCTTGAAGAGGTCCTTCACATCCCTTGTAAGTTGGATTCCTAGGTATTTTATTCTCTTTGAAGCAATTGTGAATGGGAGTTCACCCATGATTTGGCTCTCTGTTTGTCTGTTGTTGGTGTATAAGAATGCTTGTGATTTTTGTACATTGATTTTGTATCCTGAGACTTTGCTGAAGTTGCTTATCAGCTTAAGGAGATTTTGGGCTGAGACGATGGGGTTTTCTAGATAAACAATCATGTCATCTGCAAACAGGGACAATTTGACTTCCTCTTTTCCTAATTGAATACCCTTTATTTCCTTCTCCTGCCTGATTGCCCTGGCCAGAACTTCCAACACTATGTTGAATAGGAGCGGTGAGAGAGGGCATCCCTGTCTTGTGCCAGTTTTCAAAGGGAATGCTTCCAGTTTTTGCCCATTCAGTATGATATTGGCTGTGGGTTTGTCATAGATAGCTCTTATTATTTTGAAATACGTCCCATCAATACCTAATTTATTGAGAGTTTTTAGCATGAAGGGTTGTTGAATTTTGTCAAAGGCTTTTTCTGCATCTATTGAGATAATCATGTGGTTTTTGTCTTTGGCTCTGTTTATATGCTGGATTACATTTATTGATTTGCGTATATTGAACCAGCCTTGCATCCCAGGGATGAAGCCCACTTGATCATGGTGGATAAGCTTTTTGATGTGCTGCTGGATTCGGTTTGCCAGTATTTTATTGAGGATTTTTGCATCAATGTTCATCAAGGATATTGGTCTAAAATTCTCTTTTTTGGTTGTGTCTCTGCCCGGCTTTGGTATCAGAATGATGCTGGCCTCATAAAATGAGTTAGGGAGTATTCCCTCTTTTTCTATTGATTGGAATAGTTTCAGAAGGAATGGTACCAGTTCCTCCTTGTACCTCTGGTAGAATTCGGCTGTGAATCCATCTGGTCCTGGACTCTTTTTGGTTGGTAAACTATTGATTATTGCCACAATTTCAGAGCCTGTTATTGGTCTATTCAGAGATTCAACTTCTTCCTGGTTTAGTCTTGGGAGAGTGTATGTGTCGAGGAATGTATCCATTTCTTCTAGATTTTCTAGTTTATTTGCGTAGAGGTGTTTGTAGTATTCTCTGATGGTAGTTTGTATTTCTGTGGGATCGGTGGTGATATCCCCTTTATCATTTTTTATTGTGTCTATTTGATTCTTCTCTCTTTTTTTCTTTATTAGTCTTGCTAGCAGTCTATCAATTTTGTTGATCCTTTCAAAAAACCAGCTCCTGGATTCATTGATTTTTTGAAGGGTTTTTTGTGTCTCTATTTCCTTCAGTTCTGCTCTGATTTTAGTTATTTCTTGCCTTCTGCTAGCTTTTGAATGTGTTTGCTCTTGCTTTTCTAGTTCTTTTAATTGTGATGTTAGGGTGTCAATTTTGGATCTTTCCTGCTTTCTCTTGTAGGCATTTAGTGCTATAAATTTCCCTCTACACACTGCTTTGAATGCGTCCCAGAGATTCTGGTATGTGGTGTCTTTGTTCTCCTTGGTTTCAAAGAACATCTTTATTTCTGCCTTCATTTCGTTATGTACCCAGTAGTCATTCAGGAGCAGGTTGTTCAGTTTCCATGTAGTTGAGCGGCTTTGAGTGAGATTCTTAATCCTGAGTTCTAGTTTGATTGCACTGTGGTCTGAGAGATAGTTTGTTATAATTTCTGTTCTTTTACATTTGCTGAGGAGAGCTTTACTTCCAACTATGTGGTCAATTTTGGAATAGGTGTGGTGTGGTGCTGAAAAAAATGTATATTCTGTTGATTTGGGGTGGAGAGTTCTGTAGATGTCTATTAGGTCTGCTTGGTGCAGAGCTGAGTTCAATTCCTGGGTATCCTTGTTGACTTTCTGTCTCGTTGATCTGTCTAATGTTGACAGTGGGGTGTTAAAGTCTCCCATTATTAATGTGTGGGAGTCTAAGTCTCTTTGTAGGTCACTCAGGACTTGCTTTATGAATCTGGGTGCTCCTGTATTGGGTGCATAAATATTTAGGATAGTTAGCTCCTCTTGTTGAATTGATCCCTTTACCATTATGTAATGGCCCTCTTTGTCTCTTTTGATCTTTGTTGGTTTAAAGTCTGTTTTATCAGAGACTAGGATTGCAACCCCTGCCTTTTTTTGTTTTCCATTTGCTTGGTAGATCTTCCTCCATCCTTTTATTTTGAGCCTATGTGTGTCTCTGCACGTGAGATGGGTTTCCTGAATACAGCACACTGATGGGTCTTGACTCTTTATCCAACTTGCCAGTCTGTGTCTTTTAATTGCAGAATTTAGTCCATT